>NC_000021.9:10651149-10814560 GCF_000001405.40 Homo sapiens | reverse complement strand
AATTCTGAGAAACTTCTTTGTGAGGGTTGGATTCATTTCACACATTTGAACATTTCTTTGATTGAAGATTTGGAAACAGTCTTTTTGTAAAATCTATAAAGGGATAATTGTGAACCCTTTGAGGCCTAGGGTGAAGTAGGAAATATCTTCACATAAAAACTACACAGAAATTTTCTGAGAAACGTTTTAGTGATGCGTGCATTCATCTCACAGAGTTGAACCTTTCCTTTGCTAGAGCACTTTGGAAACAGTCCTATTGTAGAATCCCCAAAGGAATACTTCTCAGCCGATTGAGGCCTTTGGTGATATTGGAAATATCTTCACATAAAAGCTAGACAGAAACTTTCTGAGAAACTTATTTTTAATGAGTGCTCTCATCTCAAAGAGTTAAGTGTTTCTTTTGAATGAGCAGTTTGGAAACACTCTTTTTGCATAATCTGCAAATGGATAATTGGAGCGTTTTGAGGCCTATGGTGAAAAAGGAAATATCTTCACATAAAAACTAAACAGAAGCTTTCTGAGAAACTACTTTGTAATGTGTGCATTCATCTCACAGCGTTGAAAACTTCTTTTGATTGAGCAGTTTGTAAACAGTCTTTTTTGTAGAATCTGCAAATGGGTATTTGGAGTGCTCTGAGTTCTATAGTGAAAAAGGAAATATCTTCCAAAAAAAACTAGAAAGAAACATTCTGAGAAACTTCTTTGTGATATGTACTTTCATCTCACAGAGTTGAACCTTTCTTTTCATTGAGCAGTTTGGAAACAGACTTTTTATAGAATCTGGAAATGCATATTTGGAGAGCTTTGAGGCCTATGGAGAAAAAGGAAATATCTTCAGATAAACACTAAACAGAAGCTTTCTGAGAAACTTCTTTGTGATGTCTGCATTCATATCACAGAGCTGAAACTTTCTTTTGATTTAGCAGTTTGTAAACAGTCTTTTGGTAGAATCTGCAAATAGATACTTGGAGTGCTTTGAGGCCTATGTTGAAAAAGGAAATATCTTCACAAAAAATCTAGAAAGATACATTCTGAGAAACTTCTTTGTGATGTGTGTTTTCACCTCACAGAGTTGAAACTTTCTTTTCATTGAGCAACTTGGAAACAGTCTTTTTGTGGAATCTGCAAATGGATATTTGGAGCGCTTTGAGGCTTGTGGTGAAAAAGGAAATATCTCATGTAAACCCTAGACAGAAGTATTCTGAGAAACTTCTTTGTATTGTGTCCATTCATCTCACAGAGTTGAAACTTTCTTTGGATTGAGCAGTTTGGAAATAGTCTTTTTGTAGAATCTGTGAAAAATATTTTTGGGCCCTTTATGGCCCATGGTGAAACAGAAAATATCCTCAAAGAAAAACTAGACATAAGCTTTCTGAGAAACTTCTTTGTGATGTGTACTTTCAACACACGGAGTTGTAGCTTTCTTTTCATTGAGCAGTTTTGAAACAGTCTTTTTGCGGAATCAGCAAATGGATGTTTGGAGTGCTTTGAGGCCTATGGTGAAAAGGTGAATAACTTCACATAAAAAATAGACAGAAGCATTGTGAGAAACATCTCTGTGATGTGTGCATTCATCTCACAGAGTTGAACCTTTCTTTGATTGAGCAGTTTGGAAACAGTCCTTTTGTAGAATCTGCAAAGGGATATTTCTGAGCCCATTGAAGCCTAGGGTGAAAAAGAAATGTCTTCCCATAAAAAGTAGATAGAAGCATTCTGATAAACTTTTTTGTGGTGTGTCCATTCATCTCACAGAGTTGAAACTTCCCTTGGATTGAGCAGTTTGGAAACAGTCTTTTTGCAGAATTTACAAAAAAATTTTGTGAGCCTTATACGGCCCATGGTGAAATAGGAAATATCGTCACATAAAAAATAGACAGAAGCTTTCTGAGAGACTACTTTGTGATGTTTGCTTCCGTGTCACAGGTTTGAACCTTTCTTTTGATTGAGCAGTTTGGAAACACTCTTTTTGTAGAATCTACAAATGGGTATTTGGAGCGCTTTGAGGCCTATGGTGAAAAAAGAAATATCTGCACATAAAAACTAGACAGATGCATTCTGCAAAACTTCTTTGTAATGTGTGCATTCATCTCACAGAGTTGAATCTTTCTTTGGATTCAGCAGTTTTCTAAACAGACCTTTTGTAAAATCTACAAAGTAATACTTCTGAGCCCATTGAGGCCTATGGTGAAAAAGGAAATATCTTCACACGAAATCTTAACAGAAGCATTCTGAGAAACTTCTTTGTGATGTGTGCATTCATCTCACAGTGTTGAAACTTTCTTTTGATTGAGCAGTTTGGAAACGGTCTTTTTGTACAATCTGCAAAGGGATATTTCTGAGCCATTTGAGGCCTACTGTGAAAGAGAAATATCTTCATATAAAAACTAGCAAAAGCATTCTGAGAAACTTCTTTGTAATGTGTGCATTCATCACACAGAGTTGAAACTTTCTTTTGATTGAGCAGTTTGGGGACAGTCTTTTTGTATAATGTGCAAAAGGATATTTGTGAGCCCTTTCAGGACTGTGGTGAAATAGGGAATATCTTCACAAAAAAACTAGACCGAAGCTTTTGGAGAAACTTCTTTGTGTTGTGTGCTTTCATCTCACAGAGTTGAACTTTTCTTTGATTGAGCAGTTTGTAAACATTCTTTTTGTAGAATCTGAAGATGGATATTTGCAGCATTTCAGGCCTATGGTGAACAGGAAATTTCTTCACATAAAAACTAGACAGAAGCATTCTGAGAAACTTCTTTGTGATGTGTGCATTCATGTCACAGAGTTAAAACTTTCTGTGGATTGAGCAGTTTGGAAAGAATTCTTTTGCAGAATCTGCAAAGGGATGTTTGTGAGCCCATTGGGGCCTATGGTGAAATAGGAAATGTCTTCACATAAAAACTAGGCAGAAGCTTTTTGTAAAACTTCTTTGTACTGTGTGCTTTCACCACAAAGAGTTGAACCTCTCTTTTGAGTGAGCAGTTTGGAAACACTCTTTTTGTAGAAATTGCAAATGGATATTTGGAGTGCTTTGAGGCCTATAGTGAAAAAGAAAATATCTGCATTTAAAAACTAGACAGAAACTTTCTGAGAAACTTCTTTGTGATGTGTGCTTTCATCTCACAGATTTGGACCTTGCTTTTCATTGAGAAGTTTGGCAACAACTCGTTTTGTAGAATCTGCAAAGGGATATTTGTCAGCAGTTTGAGGCCTATGGTGAAAAAGTAAATATCTTCATCTAAAACCTAGACAGAAGCATTTTGAGAAAACTCTTTGTGATGTTTGCATTCATCTCACTGAGTTGAACCTTTCAGTTCATTGAGCAGTGTGGAAACATGCTTTTTGTGCAATCTGCAAAGGAATATTTGTTTGCGGTTTGAGACCTATGGTGAAAAAGTAATAACTTCAAATAAAAACTGGACAGAAACATTCTGATAAACTAATTTTGCATGTGTGCATTGATCTCACAGAGTTGAACCTTTCTTTTGATGAAGCAGTTCGGAAACAGTTTTTTGTAGAATCTGAATAGGGATATTTGTGATCCCTTTGAGGCCTAAGGAGAAATAGGAAATATCTTCACATAAAAACTAGACGGAAACTTTCTGAGAAAGTTCTTTGTGACGTGGGCTTTCATCTCACAGATGTGAAACTTTATTTTGATTGAGCAGTTTGGAAAGAGTCTTTTGTAGTATCTGCAGAGGGCTATTAGTGAGCGGACAGGCTTACAGTGAAAAAAGAAGTGGCTTCTCAAAAAAACTATACAGAAGAATTCTGAGAGACTTCTTTGTAATGTGTGCATTTATCTTACAGTGTTAAACCTTTCTTTTGATTGAGCTTTTTGGAAACACTCTTTTTGTAGCATCTGCAAGAGTATACTTCTGAGCCCATTGAGACCTATTTTGAAATATGAAATATCTTCACATAAAAACTAGATAGAAGGTTTCTAAGAAACACTTCTGTGAAGTGTGCTTTCATCTCACAGAGTTGAACCTTTCTTTTCATTGAGCAGTTTGAAAACACTCTTTTTGTAGAATCTGCAAGTGGATATTTGGAGTGCTTTCAGGCCCATGGTGAAAAAGGAAATACCTTCACATAATAACCACACAGAAGCATTCTGAGAAACTTCTTTGTGATGTGTGCATTCATCTCACAGTGTTGAAACTTTATTTTGTTTGAGCAGTTTAGAAACAGTCTTTTCCTGCATTCTGCAAAGGTGTATTTCTGAGCCATTTGAGGTCTATGTGAAAAAGAAATATCTTCATATTTAAACTAGACAGAAGCATTCTGAGGAACTTCTTTGTGATGTCTCCATTCATCTGACAGATTTGAAGGTTTCTTTTAATTCACACTTTTGAAACCATATTTTTGTAGAATCTGCAAAGGGATATTTTTGAGACATTTGAAGCTTATAGTGACATAGTAAATATCGTCACATAAAAACTAGACAGGAGAGTTCTGAGAAACTTCATTCTCATGTGTGCATTCACCTCACAGAATTTAAGCTTTCTTTTGATTGAGCAGTATGGAAATGGTTGTCTTTTAGAAACTGGAAAGGGATATTTCTTAGCCCTTTGAGGCCTATGGTGAAACTGGAAATATCTTCACATGAAAACTAGACCGAAGCTTTCTGAGAAAGTTCTTTGAGATGTGTGCTTTCATCTCACAGAGTTAAAACTTTCTTTTGATTCAGCAGTTTGGAAACACTCTTTTTGTGATATCTGTAAATGGATATTAGGAGTGCTTTGAGGTCAATGGTGACAAAGGAAATATCCTCACATAAAAACTAAACAGAAATTTTCTGAGAAATTACTTTTTGATGTGTCCATTAATCTAACAGAGTTGAAACTTTCTTTTTATTGAGCAGTTTGGATACAGTCTTTTTGTAGAATCTGCAAAAAAATATTTGTGAGCCCTTTATTGCCTATGGTGAAATAGGAATTTTCTTCACATATAAACTAGAAAGAAGCATTCTGAGAAACTTCTTTTTGATGTGTGCATTCATCTCACATAGTTGAAACTTTCTTTGGATTGAGCAGTTTGGAAACAGCCCTTTTGTAGAATCTGCAAAGGAATATTTCTGAGCGCATTGAGTACTATGGTGCAATGTGAAATATCTTCACATAAAAACTAGAAAGAAGCTTTCTAAGAAACTTCTTTGTGATGTGTGCTTTCATCTCACAGAATTGAAACTTTCTTTTGATTGAGGAGTTTGGAAACACTCTTTATCTAGAATCTGCAAATGGATATTTTGAGCGCTATTGAGGCCCATGGTGAAAAACGCAATATCCTCACATAAAAACTAAACAGAAGCTTTCTGAGAAACTTCCTTGTAATGTGTGCATTCATCTCACAGAGTTGAACCTTTCTTTTTATTGAGCAGGTTAGAAAGAGGTTTATTGAACAATCTGCAAAGGGATAATTCTGATCATTTTGAGACCTATGGTGAAAGAGAAATATCTTCACATAAAAACTAGACAGAATCATTCCAAGAAATTTCTTTGTGATGTGTCCATTCATCTCACAGAGTTGAAACTTTCTTTTGATTGAGCAGTTTGGAAACAGTCTTTTTGTAGAAGCTTCAAAGGGATATTTGTGAGCCCTTTATGACCTCAGGTAAAATAGAAAATATCTTCACATACAAACTAGAGAGAAGCTGTCTGAGTAACTTTTTTGTGATGTGTGCTTTCATCTCACAGAGGTAAAAATTTGTTTTGATTGATTAGTTTGGAAGCAGTCTTTTTGTTGAATCTGCAAATGGATGTTTGGATTGCTTTGAGGCCTATGTTGAGAAAGGTAATATGTTCACTAAAAACAAGACAGAAGACTGGATTAAGAAAATGTGGCACATATACACCATGGAATACTATGCAGCTATAATAAATGATGAGTTCATGTACTTTGTAGGGACATAGATGAAATTGGAAATCACCATTCTCAGTAAACTATCGCAAGAACAAAAAACCAAACACCGCATATTCTCACTCATGGGTGGGAATTGAACAATGAGAGCAACATATGGACACAGGAAGGGGAATATCACACTCTGGGGACTGTTGTGGGGTGGGGGGAAGGGGGAGGGATAGCATTGGGAGATATACCTAATGCTAGATGACGAGTTAGTGGGTGCAGCACACCAGCATGGCACATGTATACATATGTAACAAACCTGCACATTGTGCACATGTACCCTAAAACTTAAAATATAATAATAATAAATTAAAAAACTAACTTTGAAAGAAATAAAAAAGTGTTGAAAATAAAAAAAAAAGATTCCTGAGAAACTCCTTTGTTATGTGTGCATTCATCTCACCAGTTTGAAATTTTCTTTTGATTGAGCAGTTTAGAAACAGTCTTTTTGTACAATCTACAAAGTGATATTTCTGAACGGTTTGATGCCTATGGTGAAAAAGAAATATCTTCACATAAAAACTAGACAGAAGCATTATGATAACCTAATTTATTATGTGTGCATTCGTCTCACAGAGTTGAACATTTCTTTTCATTTAGCAGTTCGAAAACTGTCTTTGTAGAATCTGCAATGGGGTATTTGTGAGATCTTTGAGGCTCATGGTGATATAGGAAATATCTTCACAAAAAAAGTAGAGAGAAGCATTATGAGAAACTTCTTCGTGATGTGTACTTTCTTTTCACAGATTCGAATCTTTCTTTTAATTGAACAGTTGGAAACTCTCTTTTTGTAGAGTTTGCAAAAGGATATTTGGAGTGCTTTGAGGCCTATGGTGAAAAAGGAAATATTTTCACTTAAAAACTAAACAGAAGCTTTCTGAAAAACTTCTCTGTGATGTGAGTATTCATGTCACAGTGTTGAACCTTTGTTTTCATTGAGCAGTTTGGAAACAATCTTTTTGTACAATCTGCAAAGGAATATTTCTGAGCAGTTTGAGGCCTATGGTGAAAAACAAATATCTTAACACAGAAACTAGACAGAAGCATTCTGAGAAACTTCTTATTCATGTGTGCATTCATCTCCCAGAGATGAATCTTTCTTTTCATTGAGAAATTCGGAAACAATCTTTTGTAGAATTTGCAAAAGGATATATGTGAGCCCACTGAGGCCCATGGTGAAATGGGAAATATCTTCACAGAAAAACTATACAGAAGCATACCGAGAAACTTCTTTGTGATGTTTGCATTCATCTCACAGAGTTGAAATTTTCTTTTGATTGAGCAGTTTGGAAAAACTCTTTTTGAAGTATCTGCAAATGGATATTTGGAGCACTTTGTGGCTTGTGGTGAAAAACTAAATATCTTCACATAAAATCTAGTGAGAAACTTTCTGAAGAACTTCTTTGTGATGTGTGTTTTCATCTCACAGAGTTGAAAATTTCTTTTGATTGAGCAGTTTGGAAACACTATTTTGTAGAATCTGCAAATTGATATTTGGATTTCTTTGAGGCCTATCGTTAGAAGGGAAATATCTTCACATAAAAACTAGACAGAAGATTTCTGAGAAACTTCTTTGTGATGTGTGCTTTCATCTCACAGACTTGAACTGTTCTTTTGATTGAGCAGTTAGGAAAAATTCTTTATCTACAATCTGCAAAGGGATATTTCTGAGGGGTTTGATTCCTATGGTGAAAAAGAAATATCCTCCCATAAAAATTAGACAGAAACATTCTGAGAAACTTCTTTGTGATGTGTGCTTTCATCTCACAGGTTTGAGCCTTTCTTTTGATTGAACAGTTTGGAAACAGTCTTTTTGTACAATGTACAAAGGGATATTTCTGAATGGTTTGATGTCTATGGTGAAAAAGAAATATCTTCACAAAAAAACTAGACAGAAGCATTCTGAGTAACTTCTTTTTTATGTGTGCATTCGTCTCACAGAGTTGAACCTTTCTTTGCATGGAGCAGTTCGAAAACAGTCTTTTTGTAGAGTCTGCAAAGGGATATTTGTGAGCTCTTTGAGGCCTATGGTGAAATATGAAATATCTTCACATAAAAACCAGACAGAAGCATTATGAGGAACTTCTTTGTGATGTGTGGTTTCATCTCACAGAGTTGAACCTTTCTTTGCATTTGACAGTTTAGAAACAGTCTTTTTGTACAATATGCAAAGGGATGTTTTTGAACGGTTTGAGGCCTATGGTGAAAAATAATTATGTCAGATAAAAACCAGACAGAAGCATTCTGAGAAACTTCTTTTTCATGTGTGCATTTATCTGACAGAATTGAACCTTTCTTTTCATGTAGCTGTTTGGAAACAGTCTTTTTGTAGAATCTGCAAATGGATATTTGGAGCACTTTGAGGCCTGTGGTGAAAAAGGAAATATCTTCACATAAAAACTAGACAGAAGCATTCTGAAAAACTTCTTTGGATGGGTGCATTCATTTCACAGAGATGAAGCATTCCTTTGATTGAACAGTTTTCAAGTAGTCTTTTTGTAGTATCTGCAGAGGGATATTTGGGAGCCATTTAAGGCCTATGGTGAAAAAGGAAATAACTTCACATAAAAACTAGACAGAGGCATTCTGAGAAACTTCTTTATGATATGCGCATTCATCTCACAGAGTTGAACCTGTCTTTTCATTGAGAAATTTGGAAACAGTCTTTTTGTACAATCTGCAAAGGGATATTTCTTAGCTCTTTGAGGCCTCTGGTGAAAAAGTCATATCTTCACATAAAAACTAGGCAGAAGCCTTCTGAGAAACTTCTTTGTGATATGTCCATTCATCTCACAGATTTGAAACTTTGTTTTGATTGAGTTGTTTGGAAACAGGCTTTTTGTAGAGTCTGCAAAGGGATATTTGGAAGACCTTTATGGCTTATGGTGAAATAGGAAATATCTTCACATAAAAACTAGAAAAATATTCTGAGAAACTTCTTTGTGATGTGTGCTTTCATCTCACAGAGTTGAAACTTTCTTCTGATTGAGCAGTTTGGAAAGAGGCCTTTTGTAGTATCTGAAAAGAGATATTTTTGAGCCCATTGAGGCCTATGCTGAAAGAGGAAATATCTTCACATATAAGCTAGAAAAAAACTTTCTGAGAAAATTCTTTGTGATGTGTGTTTTCATCTCACAAAGTAGAATCTTTCTTTTCATTGAGCAGTTTAGAAGCAGTCTTTTTGTAACAGCTGCATAGGGATATTTCTGAGTGGTTTGAGGCCTATGGTGACAAAGAAATATCTTCACATAAAACTAGACAGAAGCATTCTGAGAAACTTCTTTTTTAGGTGTGAATTCATCTCACAGAGTTGAAACTTACTTTTCATTGAGCAGTTCTGTAACAGTCTTTTTGTAGAATCTGCAAAAGGATATTTGTGAGCCCCTTGAGGCCCATGGTGTAACAGGAAATACCTTCACTTAAAAACTAGACAGAAGCATTCTGAGTAACTTCTTTGTGATTTGTGATTTCATCTCACAGAGTTGAACCTTTCTTTTGATTGAGCAGTTTGGAAAACCTCTTTTTGCACAATCTGCAAAAGATATTTGGTGCACTTTGTGGACTATGGTGAAAAAGGAAATATCTTCATATAAAAACTAGAAAGAAACTTTCTGAGAAACTTCTTTGTGATGTGCACTTTCTTTTTATTTTATTTTATTGTTATTATACTTTAAGTTTTAGGGTACATGTGCACAATGTGCAGGTTAGTTACATATGTATACATGTGCCACACTGGTGTCCTGCACCCATTAACTCATCATTTAGCATTAGGTATATCTCCTAATGCTATCCCTCCCCCCTCCCCACACCCCACAACAGTCCCCAGAGTGTGATGTGACCCTTGCTGTGTCCATGTGTTCTCATTGTTCAAATCTCACCTATGAGTGAGAACATGTGAGTGTTTGGTTTTTTGTCCTTGTGATAGTTTACTTAGAATGATGATTTCCTATTTCATCCATGTCCCTACAAAGGACATGAACTCATCACTTTTTATGGCTCCATAGTATTCCATAGTGTATATGTGCCACATTTTCTTAATCCAGTCTATCATTGTTGGACATTTGGGTTGGTTCCAAGTCTTTGCTATTGTGAATAGTGCCACAATAAACATACACGTGCATGTGTCTTTATAGCAGCATGAAACCAACAAGAACAAAGACACAACATACCAGAATCTCTGGGACACATTCAAAGCAGTGTTTAGAGGGAAATTTATAGCACTAAATGCCCACAAGAGAAAGCAGGAAAGATCCAAAATTGACACCCTAACATCACAATTAAAAGAACTAGAAAAGCAAGAGCAAACACATTCAAAAGCTAGCAGAAGGCAAGAAATAACTAAAATCAGAGCAGAACTGAAAGAAATAGAGACAAAAAAAAACCCTTCAAAAAATTAATGAATCCAGGAGCTGGTTTTTTGAAAGGATCAACAAAATTGATAGACCGCTAGCAAGATTAATAAAGAAGAAAAAAGAGAAGAATCAAATAAATGCAATAAAAAATGATAAAGGGGATATCACCACTGATCCCACAGAAATACAAACTACCATCAGAGAATACTACAAACACCTCTATGCAAATAAACTAGAAAATCTAGAAGAAATGGATAAATTCTTCGACATATACACCCTCTCAAGACTAACCCAGGAAAAATTTGAATCTCTGAATAGACCAATAACAGGATCTGAAATTGTGGTAATAATCAATAGCTTACCAACCAAAAAGAGTCCAGGATCAGATGGATTCACAGCCGAATTCTACCAGAGGTACAAGGAGGAACTGGTACCATTCCTTCTGAAACTATTCCAATCAATAGAAAAAGAGGGAATCCTCCCTAACTCATTTTATGAAGCCAGGATCATCCTGATACCAAAGCCTGGCAGAGACACAACCAAAAAAGAGAATTTTAGACCAATATCCTTGATGAACATCGATGCAAAAATCCTCAATAAAATACTGGCAAACCGAATCCAGCAGCACATCCAAAAGCTTATCCACGATGAACAAGTGGGCTTCATCTCTGGGATGCAAGCCTGGTTCAATATATGCAAATCAATAAATGTAATCCAGCATATAAACAGAACCAAAGACAAAAACCACATGATTATCTCAATAGATGCAGAAAAGGCCTTTACAAAATTCCACAACCCTTCATGCTAAAAACTCTCAATAAATTAGGTATTGATGGGACATATCTCAAAATAATAAGAGCTATCTGAGAAACTTCTTTGTGATGTGTGCATTCATCTCACAGAGTTGAACCTTTCTTTTGATTGGGCAGTTTGGAAACAGTCTTTTTGTAGAATCTGCAAAGTGATATGTTTCAGTGGTTTGAATCCAATGGTGAAAAAGGAAATATCGAAAAATAAAATGTAGACAGCAGCTTTCTGAAGAACTTCTTTGTGATGTGTGCATTCATCTCACAGGGTTGAATTTCTTTCAATTCACCAGTTTGGAAACAGTCTTTTTGTAGAACCTGCAAAGTGATATTGGTGAATGCTTTGATGCTTATGGTGCAAAAGGAAATATCTTCATATAAACACTAGACTCATGTTTTCTGGGAAACTTCTTTGTGATGGGTGTATGCATCTCAAAGACTTGAATCTTTCTTTTGATTGAGCAGTTTGGAAACAGTCTTTTTGGAGAATCTGTAAATGGATGTTTTTGAGTGGTTTGAGGCATGTGATGAAAAAGGAAATATCTTCATATAAAAACTAGACAGAAGCATTCTGAGAAACCACTTTGCGATGCATGCATTCATCTCACAGAGTTTAATTTTCTTTCATTGAGCAGATAGGAAACAGTCTTTTTGTAGAATAAGCAAAGCGATATTTGTGAGCTTTCTGAGGCCTATTGTGAAAAAGGAAATATCCACAAATAAAATCTAGACAGAATCCTTCTGAGAAACTTCGTAGTGATGTGTGCATTCATCACACAGAATTGAACCTTTCTTTTGATTGAGCAGTTTGGAAACAGTCTTTTCATAGAATCTGCAAAGGAAAATTTGGGAACACTTTCAGGCTTATGGTGAAAAAAAGTGTCTTCACATAAAAACTAGACAGAAACATTCTGAGAAACTTCTTTTTGATGTGTGCATTCATCTCACACAGCTGAACTTTCATTTGAGTGAGCAGTTTGGAAACAGTCCTATTGTAGAATCTGCAAAGGGTTATTTATGAGCTGTTTGAGGCCTATGGTGAAAAAGGGAATATCGACAAATAAAAACTAGACAGAAACTTTCTGAGAAACTTCTCTCTGATATGTGCATTCATCTCACAGAGTAGAAGCTTTCTTTGATTGAGCCGTTTGGAAACAGTCTTTTTGTAGAATCTGCAAAGGGTTATATATAGGCGGTTTCAGGTCTATGGTGAAAAAGGAAATATCTACACATAAAAACTAGACAGAAGATTTCTGAGAAAATTCTTTGAGATGTGCACATTCATCTCACAGATTTGAAGTATTCTTTTCCTTGACCAGTTTGGATAGAGTCTTTTTGTAGAATCTGCTTTGCGATATATGTGAGCCCTTTGAAGCCTATGGTGAAAAAAGTAATATCTTCACACAAAAACTAGACAGAAGCTTTCTGAGAAACTTCTTTGTGATGTGTGCATTCATCGCAAAAGTTGAACCTGTCTTTGGATTGAGCAGTTTGGAAACAGTCCTTTGTAGAATGTACAAAGGGATATTTGGGATCCCTTTTTGGCCTATGGTGAAAAAGGAAATGTCTTCAGATAAAAACTAGACAGAAGCATTCTGAGAAACTTCTTTGTGATGTGTGCATTCACCTCACAGAATTGAAGCTTTCTTTTGATTGAGTAGTTTGGAAACAGTCTTTTTGTAGAATCTGAAAAGGGTTATTTATGAGTGGTTTGAGGTCTATGGTGAAAAAGGGAGTATCAACAAATAAAAAGTAGACAGAAACTTTCTGAGAAACTTCTCTGTGATGTGTGCATTCATCTCACAGAGTGGAAGCTTTCTTTGATTGAGCAGTTTTGTAACAGTCTTTTTGTAGAATTTGCAAAGGGATATATGTAGACAGTTTGAGGTCTATGGTGAAAACGGAAATATCTTCACATAAAAACTAACTGCTTAATGGGAAGAAATTTTTACTTCTGTGTGATAAATGCACATGTCACAAATGAGTTACTCAGAAAACTTCTTTCTACTTTTAATATGAAGATATTTCCTTTTTCACCATATGCCTCAATGCACTCACAGATATCCCTTTGCAGATTCTACAAAAAGATTGTTTCCAAACTGCTCAATAAACAGAATGATTCAACCCTGTGAGACGAATGTGTACATCACAAAGAAGTTTCTCAGAAAACTTCCTTCTCAGTTTTATTTGAAGATATTTCCTTTTTGAACATAGGCCTCAATGCACTCCCAAATATACCTTTGCAGAGTCTACAAAAAGACTGTTTCCAAACTGCTCAATCAAAAGAAAGTTTCAACTCTGTTAGATGAATGCACTCATCAGAAAGTAGTTTCTCAGTAAGCTTCTCACTAGTTTTTATATGAAGATACTTCCTTTTTCAACATGGGTCTCAAAGCACTCAAAAATATCCCTTTGCAGACTCTAGAATAACAGAGTTTACAAACTGCTCAATGAAAAGAAATGTTTACATCTGTGAGATGAGTACACATATCTTAAAGCAGCTTCTCAGAATGCTTCTTTCTAGCTTTTATGTGAAGATATTTCCTTTTCCACCATAGGCCTCAACTTGCTCCTAAATATCCCTTTGCAGATTCTACAAAAAGACTGTTTCCATACTGCTCTATCAAAAAAAAAAATGTTAAACTCTATGAGATAAATGCACACATCACAAAAAGTTTCTCAGAAAACTTTTGTCTAGTTTTTATGTGAATATATTTCCTTATTCATCATAAGCCTCAAAGCTCTACAAATATCCCTCTGCAGATTCTACAAAAAGACTGTTTGCAAACTGCTCAATCCAAAGAATATTTCACCTCTGTGTGATGAATGCACACATCCAAAGAAGTTTCTCAGAAACTTTCTTTATGGTTTTTCCCTGAAGATATTTCCTTTTTCAACATAGACCTCAAAGACATCACAAATATCCCTTTGCAGATTCTACAAAAAGACTGTTTCCAAGCTGCTCAATAAAAAGAATTATTGAACACTGTCAGATGAATGCACACAGCTCAAAGAAGTTTCTCAGAATCCTTCAGTCTAGTTTTTATGTGAATATATTTCCTTTTTCACGATAGGCCTCAAAGTGCTCCAAATATCCGTTTGCAGAGTCTACAAAAAGACTGTTTCCAAACGGCTCAATCAAAACAAAGGTTCAACTCTGTGTGATGAATGCACACATCACGAAGTAGTTTCTCATAATGCTTCTGTCCAGTTTTTCACCGTAGGTCTCAAAGTGCTCACAAATATCTCTTTACAGATTCTACAAAAATACTTCTTCCAAATTGCTCAATCAAAAGAAAGGTTCAACTCTGTGAGATGTATGCACACCACAAAGAGGTTTCTCAGAAAGCTTCTCTCTAGTTTTTATGTGAAGATATTTCCTTTTTCACCATAGGCCTCAAAGCATTCACAAATATCCCTTTGCAGATTCTACAAAAAGACTCTTTACACATGGCTCAATCAAAAGAATGTTTCAACTCTGTGAGGTGAATGCTCACATCACGAGGATGTTTCTCAGAAAGCTTCTGTGTAGTTTTTATGTGAAGATATTTCCTTTTTCACCATACACCTCAAAGGGCTCACAAATATCCCTTTGCAGATCTTACAAGAAAAGAGTTTCCAATCTTCTCAATGAAAAGAAACAGACACATCTGGGAGATGAATGTACATATCACAAAGCAGTTTCTGAGAAACATTCTGTCTAGTTTTTATGTGAAGGTATCTCCTTTTCCACCACAGGATGTAAAGCACTCAAAATTGTCCCTTTGCAGATTCTACAAAAAGATTGTTTCCACACTGCTCATCAAAAGAAAGGTTCAACTCTGTGAGATGAATGCACATGTCAAAAAGTGGTTTCTCAGAAATCTTCTATTAATTTTTTATGTGAATGTTTCCTTTTTCCCCATGAGCCTCAAGGTGCTCAGAAGTATCCACTTGAAGAATATTTAAAAAGACTGTTTCCAAACTGCTCAATCAAAAGAAAAGTTGAACTGTGTGAGATGACTGCACACATCACAAAGAAGTTTCTCAGAAACCTTCTTTATAGTTTTTCTGTGAAGATATTTCCTTTTTCACCATAGGCCTCAAAGCCCTCACAAATATCTCTTTGCAGATTCTACAAAAAGATTGTTCCAAATCGCTCAATAAAAAGAATTATTGAACTTTGTGAGATGAATGCACACATCTCAAAGAAGTTTCTCACAAACTTTCAGTCTGATTTTTATGTGAATGTATTTCATTTTTCACCATAGGCCTCAAAGTGCTCCAAATATCCATTTGCAGAGTCTACAAAAAGACTGTTTCCAAACGGCTCAATGAATAGAAAGTTTCAACTCTGAGATGAATCCACAAATCACTAAGAAGTTTTGCAGGAAGCTTCTGTCTAATTTTTATATGAAGACATTTCCTTTTTCACCATAGGCCTCCATCTGCTCACAATTATCCCTTAGCAGATTCTACAAGAACAGAATTTCCAGACTGATCAAACAAAACAAACGTTTTTCTCTGTGTGGTGAATGCACACATCACAAAACTGTTTCTCAGAAACCTTCTTTATACTTTTTATGTGATGATAATTCTTTTTTCTCCCTAGGACTCAAAGTGCTCAAAAATATCCCTTTGCAGATTCTACAAAAAGATTGTTTCCAAAGTGCTTAATCAAAAGAATAGTTCAACTCTGTGAGATGAATGTGTACATCACAGAGAAGTTTCTCAGAAACTTCTTTTTAGTTTTTACGTGAAGATATTTCCTTTTCCACCACAGGCTTCAAAGTGCTCAGGAATATCCCTTTGTAGATTCTGCAAAAAGACTGCTTCGCAACTGCTCAATCAAATAAATGGTTGAACTTTGTGAGATGGATGCACACATCTCAAAGAGGTTTCTCAGAAATCTTCTGTCCATTTTTTATGTGAAGATATTTCCTTTTTCACCATAGCACTACAAGTCGTGACAAGTATCCCTTGCAGATTCTATAAAAACACTGTTTCCAGACTGCTCAATCAAAAGAATGGTTCAACTCTGTGAGATGATTGCACACATCACAAAGAAGCCACTAAGAAAGCTTCTGTCTAGTTTTTATGTGAAGATATTTCCTTTTTCACCATAGGCCTCAAAGCACTCACAAATATCCCTTTGCAGATTCTACAAGAACAGTTTCCTGACTGATCACAGAAAATAAACGTTTACCTCTCTGAGATCAATGCACACACCACAAAGCTGTTTCTAAGAAACCTTCTTTATACCTTTTATATGAATATATTTCCTTTTTCACCATTGGCCTCAAAGCTCTCATAAATATCCCTTTGCAGATTCCACAAACAGACGGTTTCCATACTGCTCAATCAAAAGTAAGTTTCAACTTTGTGAGATGAATGCCCACATCACAAAGAGGTTTCTCAGAAAGCCTCTCTCTAATTTTTATGTGAAGATATTTCCTTTTTCACCATAGGCCTCAAAGCACTCACAATTATCCCTTTGCAGAATCTACAAGAACAGTTTCCAGACAGATCAGAGAAAAGAAACGTTTACTTCTGTGAGATGAATGCATAAATCATAAAGCTGTTTCTGAGAAACCTTGTTTATACTTTTTATGTGAATACATTTCCTTTTTAACCATAGGCCTCAAAGCACTCATAAATATCCCTTTGCAGATTCTACAAAAAGAGTGTTTCCAAACTGTTCCATCAAAAGAATGGTTGAACTCTACGAGATGAATGCACACATCACAAAGAAGTTTCTCAGAAAGTTTCTGTCTAGTTTTTATGTGAAGATATTTCCTATTTCATCATAGGCCTCATACCACTCAAAAATATGCCTTTACAGATTCTACAAAAATACTGTTTCCAAATTGCTCAATCCAAAGAAAGTTTCAAATCTGTGAGACGAATGCACACATCACAAGGAGGTTTCTCAGAAAGCTTCTCTCTAGTTTTCATGTGAAAATATTTCGTTTTCACCATAGGCTTCAAAGCATCACAAATATCCATTTGCAGATTCTACCAAAATACTGTTTACAAACTGCCCAATCAAAAGAATGTTTCAACTCTGTGAGATGAATTCTCGCATCTCCAAGATGTTTCACAGAAAGCTTCCGTCTAGTTTTTATGTGAAGATAATTCCTTTTTCACCATAGGCCTCAAAGTGCTGACAAATATCCCTTTGCAGATTTTACAAGAACAGAATTTCCAATCTGTTCATTGAAAAGAAATGGTTACTTCTGTGAGATGAAAGCAAACATCACAAGGCAGTTTCTCAGAAATATTCTGTCTAGTTTTTATTTAAAAATAATTCCTTTTCCAACATAGGACACAAAACACTAACTAATAACCCTTTGGAAATTCTACCAAATACTGCTTCCAAAATGCTCATCAAAAGAAAGGTTCACCTCTGTGGGATAAATGCAAACATCAAAAAGATGATTCTCAGAAAGCATCTATCTTGTTTTTATGTGAAAGTGTTTCCTTTTTCACCATGGGCCTCAAAGTGCTCAAAAATATCCCTTTGCAGATCCTAAAAAAAGACTGTTTCCAAACCGCTGAGTCAAAGGAATGGTTCAACTCTGTGAGATGAATGCACACATCATAAAGAAGTTTCTCACAAACCTTCTTTATAGTTTTTATGTGAAGATATTTCCTTTTAACCATAGAACTCAAAGTGCTCACAAATATCCCTTTGCAGATTCTATAAAAACGTGGTTTCCCAACTGCTCCATCAAAAGAATTGTTGAACTCTGTGAGATGAATGCATACATCACAAAGCAGTTTCTCAGAAATCTTTAGTCTAGTTTTTTTGTGAAGATAATTTCTCTTTCACCATAGGCCTCAAAGTGATGAGAAATATCCCTTTACAGATTCTACAAAAAGACGTTTCTAAACTGCTTAATCAAAAGAAAGTTTCATTTCTGTGAGATGAATGCACATATCACCAAGAAGTTTCTCACTAGGCTTCTGTCTAGTTTTCATGTGAAGACAATATCTTTTTCACAATAGGGCTCTAGGCACTCAAAAATGTCCCTTAGCAGATCCTACAAGAACAGAGTTTCCCAACTGATCAAAGAAAATAATTGTTTACCTCTGTGAGATGAATGCAGACATCAAAAAACAGTTTCTCAGAAACCTTCTTTATAGTTTTCTGTGAAGATACTTCTTTTCCTGCATAGGCCTCAAAGTGCTCACAAATATCCGTTTGCAGATTCTTCAAAAAGACTGTTTCCAAAGGGCTAAATTAAAAGAGACATTCAAATCTGTGAGATGAATGCACATATCACAAAAAAGTATCTTGGAAACTTTCTGCATACTTTGAATGTGAAGATATTTCCTTTGTCACAATAGGCCTCAAAGTGCTCAAAAATACCCCCTTTGAGATTGTACAAGAACACAGTTTCCAGACTGATAGGAGAAAAGAAACACTTACCTCTGTGAGATGAATGCACACATCACAAGGTTGTTTTTAGAAAACCTGCTTTATAGTTCTTATGTGAAGATATGTCCTTTTCCACCATAGGATTCACCGCGCTCCAAATATCCAATGGCAGACTCTACAAAAAGAGTGTTTCCAAACTGCTCAACAAAAAGTAAGTTCATCTCTCTGAGATGAATACACACAACACAAAGAAGTTTCTCAGAATGCTTCTGTCTAGTTTTCATTGCAGATATTTCCTTTTCCACCATAGGCATCAAAGCACTCTAAATATCCACTTGCAGATTCTACAAAAAGAGTGTTTCAAAACTGCTCAATCAAAAGAAAGTTTCAACTCTGAGAGCTGAAAGCACACATCACAAAGAAGTTTCTCAAAATGATTCCCTGTAGTTTTCATGTGAAGATATTTCCTTTTCCACAAGAGGCCGCAAAGCGATCCAAATATCCAATTGCAGATTCTACAAAAAGTGTGTTTCAAAACTGCCCAATCAGAATAAAGTTTGAACTCTGTGAGTAGAATACACACATCACAAAGTACTTTCTCAGAATGCTTCTGGCTAGTTTTTAAGGGAAGATATATTCTTTTGCACTGTATGTCTCAAAGAGATCCAAATATCCACTTGCAGATTCTACAAAAAGAGTGTCTCAAAACTGCTCAATGAAAAGAATGGTTCAACTCTGTGAGATGAATGCACACATCACAAAGAAGTTTCTCTGAATGCTTCTGTCTAGTTTTTATGTGCAGATATTTCCTTTTCCACTATAGGCCTCAAAGCTGTCCAAATACAAATTTGAAGATGGTACGAAAAGAATGTATCCAAACTGCTCAATAAAAGACATGTTCAACTCGGTGAGTTGAATGCACACATCACAGAAAAGTTTCTCAGAATGCTTCTGTCTAGTTTTTATGTGAAGATATTTCCTTTTCCACCATAGGCCTCAAAGCGCTCTAAATATCCAACTGCTGATTCTACGAAAAGAGTGCTTCAAAACTGCTCAATCAAAAGAAATGTTCAACTCTGTGAGTTGAATGTACACATCACAAAGAAGTATCTTAGAATGATTCTGTCTAGTTCTTATGTGAAGATATTTCCTTTTCTATCATGGCTTCAAAGTGCTCCACATATCCACTTGGAGACTCTACAAAAAGAGTGTTTCAAAACTGCTCAATCAAAAGAAAGGTTCAACTCTGTGAGATGAATGCACACATCATGAAGAAATTTCTCAGAATGCTTCTGTCTAGATTTTATGTGAAGATATTTCCTTTTCCAACAGAGGCTGCAAAACACTCGAAATATCCACTTGCAGATTCTAAAAAAAGAGTGATTCAAAACTGCTCAATCAAAAGAAAGACTCAAATCTGTGAGTTGAACACACACAACACAAAGAACTTTGTCAGAATGCTTCTCTGTAGTTTTTATGTGAAGATATTTCCTTTCCTACCATAAGCCTCAAAGTGCTCCAAATATCCACTTGCACACTCTACAAAAAGAGTGGTTCAAAACTGCTCAATCAAAAGAAAGGTTGAACTCTGCGAGATGAATGCACACATCACAAAGAAGTTTCTCAGAATGCTTCTCCGTAGTTTTTATGTGAAGATATATCCTTTTCCGCAGTAGGCCACAAAGCACTCCAAATATCCACTTGCAGATCCTAAAAAAAGTGTGTTTCAAAACTGCTCAATCAAAAGAAAGGTTCAACTCTGTGTGTTGAATGCACACATCACAAACCAATTTCTCAGAATGCTTCTGTGTAGTTTTCACGTGAAGATATTTACTTTTCTACAATAGGCCTCAAAACGCTCCAAGTATCCAATTGGAGATTCTACAAAAAGAGTGCTTCAAAACTGCTCAATCAAAAGAAAGCTTCAACTCTGTGAGATGAATGCACACATGACAAAGAAGTTTCTCAGAATGCTGTTGACTAGTTTTTATGTGAAGATATTGCCTTTTCCACTTAAGGCCACATAGCGCTCCAAATATCCACTTACAGATTCTACAAAAGGAGTCTTTCAAAACTGCTCAATCAAAAGAAGGATTGCACTCTTTGAGTTAAATGCACACATCACAAAGAAGTTTCTCAGAATGCTTCTGTGTACTATTTATGTGAAGATATTTCCTTTTCCACTGTAGGCCTCAAAGCGTTCCAAAAATCCACTGGCAGATTTTACAAAAAGAGTGTTTCAAAACTGTTGAATCAAAAGAAAGGTTGAACTCTGTGGGTTGAATGCACACATCACAAAGAAGTTTCTCAGAATGATTCTGTTTAAATTTTATGTGAAAATATTCCATTTTCCACCATAGGCCTCGATGTGCTCCAAATATCCACTTGCAGATTCTACAAAAAATGTGTTTCCAAACTGCTCAACCAAAAGAACGGTTCAACTCTGTGAGATGAAACCACATATCATAAAGAAGTTTCTCAGAAATTTTCTGTCTAGTTTTTTTGTGAGAATATTTCCTATTTCATCCATAGGCATCAATGGTCTGAGAAATATCCCTTCACAGATTCTACATAAGGACTGTTTCCAAACTGCTGAATCGAAAGAAATGTTCAACTCTTTGTGATGAATGTGCACATCACAAAGAAGTTTCTCAGAATGATTCTATCTAGTTTTTATGTGAAGATATTTCATTTTCCACTATAGGCCACAAAGCACTCCAAATATCCACTTGCAGATTCCCCATAAAGAGTGTTTCCAAACTGCTCAATCAAAGGAAATTTACAACTCTGTGAGATGAAAGAACACATCATAAAGAAGTTTCTCAGAAAGCTCCTGTCTAGTTTTTATGTGAAGATATTTTATGTTTCACCATAGTCCAGAAGGTGCTCAAAAATAGCCCTTTGCAGATTCTACACAAAGACTGTTTCCAAACTTCTGAACCAAAATAAAGGTTCAACTCTGTGAGATGAAAGCACATATCTCAAAGAAGTTTCTCAGAAACGTTCTGTCTGGTTTTTATGAGAAGTTATTTCCTATTTCACCATAGGCCTCAATGGGCTGAGAAATATCCCTTTACAGATACTGCAAAAGGACTATTTCCAAACTGCTCAATCCAAAGAAAGTTTCACCTCTTTGAGTTGAATGCATACATCACAAAGAAGTTTCTCAGAATGCTTCTGCCTAGTTTTTATGTGAAGATATTTCCTTTTTCACCATAGGCCTTAAACTGCTCTCAGATATCCCTCTGCAGATACTACAAAAAGACTGTCTCCAAACTGCTCCATCAAAAGTAAAGTTCACCTCTCTGAGATGAAAGGATACCTCTCAAAGAAGTTTCTCAGAATACTTTTGTCTAGTTTTTATGTGAAGATATTTCTTTTTTGATATAGGCCTCCAACTTCTCAGAAATATCCCATTCCAGATTGTACAAAAAGATTGTTTCCAAACTGCTCAATGAAAAGAAACGTTCAACTCTGTGAGATGTATGCATGCATCAAAAAGAAGTTTCTCAGAAAGCTTCTGTTTATATTTCATGTGAAGGTATTTCCTTTTTCACCATAAGCCTCAAAGCACTCCAAATATCCATTTGCAGATTCTACAAAAAGACTGTTTCCAAACTGATCAATCAAAAGAAAGTTTCAAATCTGTGACATGAAAGCACACATCACTAAGAAGTTTATCAGAAAGCTTCTGTCTAGTTTTTATGTGAAGATATGTCCTTTTTCACCATAGGCATCAATGGGAACAGAAATATCCCTTTGCAGATCCTACAAAAAGACTGTTTCCAAACTGCTCAATCAAAGGAATGGTTCAACTCTGTGAGATGAAACCACATATCACAAAGAAGTTTCTCAGAAATCCTCTGTCTAGTTTTTATGTGAAGATATTTCCTATTTCATCCATAGGCCTCAATGGGCTCAGAAATATACCTTCACAGATTCTACAAAACGACAGTTTCCAAACTGCTCAATCCAAAGACAGCTTCAACTCTTTGAGATGAATGCACACAATACAAAGAAGTTTCTTAGAATGCTTCTACCTAGTTTTTATGTGAAGATATTTCCTTTTTCACCACAGGCCTTAAACTGCTCTCACATATCCCTCTTCAGATACTACAAAAAGATTGTTTCCAGACTGCTCCATCAAAAGAAAAGTTCAAATCTGTGAGATGAATAGATACATCACAAAAAATTTTCTCAGAATACTTCTGTCTACATTTTATCTGAAGATATTTCTTTTTCACCATAGGCCTCCAACTTCGCAGAAATTTCCTTTGCAGACTGTACAAAAAGACTGTTTCCAAACTGCTCAATGAAAAGAAAGTTTCACCTCTGTGAGATGTATGAACTCATAAAAAAGAAGTTTCTCAGAAAGCTTCTGTTTAGATTCCATGTGAAGATATGTCCTTTTTCACCATAGGCATCAAAGCGCTTGACATATCCTTTGCAGATTCTACAAAAACACTGTTTCCAAACTGCTCAATCAAAAGAAAGGTTCAAACATGTGAGATGAAAGCACACATCACTAAGAAGTTTCTCAGAATGCTTCTGTCTAGTTTTTAAGTGAAGATATTTCTTCTTTCACCATAGGTCTCAATGGGCTCAGAAATATCCCTTTGCAGATCCTACAAAAGGACTGTTTCCAAACTGCTGAATCAAAACAAAGTTTCAACTCTGTCAGTTGAATGCACACATCACAAAGCAGTTTCTCAGAATCTTCTGACTAGGTTTTATATGAAGATATTTCCTTTCTCACCAAAGTCCTCAAAATGCTCACAAATATCTCTCTGCAGATACTATAAAAGACTGTTTCCAAACTGCTCAATCAAAAGAAAGGTTCAACTCTGTGAGATGAATGCACACATCACAAAGATGTTTCCAGAATGCTTCTGTCTGGTTGTTATGTGAAGATATTTCCTTTTTCACCACAGGCCTCAAAGCGCTCCAAATATCCATTTGCAGATCCTACTAAAAGAGAGTTTCTAAATTGCTCAATCAAAAGGTAGTTTCATCTCTGTGAGATGAAAACACACATCCCAAAGAAGTTTCTCAGAAAGCTTCTGTTTATTTTTTATGTGAAGATATTTCCTAATTCACCATAGGCCTAAATCGGCTAAGAAGTATCCCTTTGCAGATTGTAGAAAAATACTGTTTCCAAACTGCTGAATCAAAAGAAAAGTTGAACTGTGTGAGATGAATGCACACATCACAAAGAAGATTCTCAGAATGCTTCTGTCTAGTTTTTATGTGAAGATATTTGCTTTTCCATCATAGGCCGCAATCGTCACCAAATATCCACTTGCAGATTTTACAAAAATAGTGTTTCAAAACTGCCCAATCTAAAGAAAGGTTCAACTCTGTACGTTGAATGCACACATCACAAAGAAGTTTCTCAGAATGCTTCTGTCTACCTTTTATCCAAAGTTATTTCCTTTTCCACTATACTCGGCAAAGCCCTCCGAATATCCACTTGCAGATTCTACAAAAGAAGTGTTTCAAAATTGCACAATCAAAAGAAAGGTTCAACTCTGGGAGTTGTATGCGCACATCAGAAAGAAGTTTCTCAGAATGCTTTTATGTAGTTTTTATGTGAAGATATTTCCTTTTCCACCATAGGCCCTAAAGCTCTCCAAATATCCACTTTCAGATTATACAAAAAGAGGGATTCAAAACTGCTCAATCAAAAGAAAGGTTCAACTCTGTGAGCTGAAGGCACACAAAACAAAGCCGTTTCTCAGAATGCTTCTCCGTAGTTTTTATATGAAGATATTTCCATTTCCACCATTCTCTCCAAAACGCTCCAAATATCCACTTGCATATTCTATAAAAAGAGTGTTTCAAAACTGCTCAATGAAAAGAAAGTTTCAACTCTGTGAAGTGAATGGACACATCACAAAGACATTTCTCAGAATGCTTCTGTCTAGTGTTTATGTGAAGATATTTCCTTTTCCACCACACGTCTCAAAGCGATCTAAATATGCACTTGCAGATTCTACGAAGAGTGCTTCAAAACTGCTGAATCAAAAGAATGGTTCAAATCTGTGAGATGAACGAACACATCACAAAGAATTTGCTCAAAATGCTTCAATCTAGTTTTTATGAGAAGATAATCCTTTTCCACCATTGGCCCCAATGGGCTCCAAATATCAACTGCAGATACTACAAAAAGTGTTTAAAAAATGCTGAATCAATAGAAAGTTTCAACTCCATGAGATGTATGCACACATAACAAAGAAGTTTCTCAGAATGCTTCTCTCTAGTTTTTATGTGAGGATATTTCCTTCTCCACCATAGGACTCAATGCACTCCAAATATCCACTGGCAGATTCTAGAAAAAGAGCGTTTCAAAACTGCTCAATCAAAAGAAATTTTCAAATTTGTGAGATGAATGCGCACATCACAAAGAAGTTTCTCAGAGTAATTCTGTCTAGTTTTTATGTGAAGATTTTTCATTTTCCACCATACTCATCAAAGCGGTCCAAATATCCACTTGCACATTCTACAAAGAGAGTGTTTCAAAACTGCTCATTCAAAAGAATGGTTCAACTATGTGAGATGAATGCATACATCACAAAGAGGTATTTCAGAATGCTTCTGTGTCGTTTTTATGTGAAGATGTTTCCCCTTACCACCATAGGACTCAAAGCTCTCCAAATATCCACTTACAGATACTCCAAAAAGAGTATTTCAAAAGTGCTCAATCAAAAGAAAGGTTGAACTCTTTCAAATGAAGGCACACATCACAAAGAAGTTTTTCAGAATGCTTCTGTCTAGTTTTTATGTGAATATACATCGTTTTCCACTATAGGCCACAAAGTGCTCCAAACACCCACTTGAAGATTCTACAAAAAGAGTGTTTCAAACGTCCTCAATAAAAAAAGTTACAACTCTGTGAGGTGAATGCACACATCACAAAGAAGATTCTCAGAATGCTTCTGTCTACTTTTTATGTGAAGGTATTTAATTTTCCACCATTGGACGCAAATCGCACCAAATATACACTTGCAGATTTTACAAAAATAGAGTTTCAAAACTGCTCAATCAAAAGAAAGGTTCAACTCTGTGAGTTGAATGCACACATCACAAAGAAGTTTCTCAGAATGCTTCTGTTTAGCTTTATGCAAAGTTATTTCCTTTGCCACTATAGTCTGCGAAGCCCTCCGAGTATCTACTTGCAGTTTCTACAAAAAGAGTGTTTCAAAACTGCACAATCAAAAGAAATGTTCAACTCTGTGAATTGTATGCACACATCACATAGAAGTTTTTCAGAGTGCTTTTTTATAGTTTTTATGTGAAGAAATTTCCTTTTCACCATAGGCCCCAAAGTGCTCCAAATATACACTAGCAGATTCTACAAAAAGAGGGATTCAAAACTGCTCAATCAAAAGAAAGGTTGAACTCTGTGAGTTGAATGCACACATCACAAAGACGTTTCTCAGAATGCTCCTCCGTAGTTTTTATGTGAAGATATTTCCATTTCCACCATTCTCTCCAAAGCGTTCCAAATATCCACTTGCAGATTCTACAAAAAGAGTGTTTCAAAACTGCTCAATCAAATTAAAGGTTCATCTCCTTGAGATGAATGCACAAATCACAAAGAAGTTTCTCAGAAAGCTTCTGTGTAGTTTTTATGTGAAGGTATTTCCTTTTACACCATTGACCACAAAGGGCTCCAAATATTCACTTGCAGATTCTACATAAAGAGAGTTTCAAAACTCGTCTATCAAAAGATAGGTACAACTCTGAGTTCAATACACACATCTCAAAGAAGTTTCTCAGAATGCTTCTGTTTAGTTTTTATGTGAAGATATTTCCATTTCTACAATAGGCCTCAAAGCGCTCCAAGTATCCGCTTGTAGATTTTACTAAAAGAGTGTTTCCAAACTGCTCAATCAAAAGAAAGTTACAAATCTGTGAGGTGAATGAACAAATCACACAGATGTTTCTCAGAATGCTTCTGTGTAGTTTTTAAGTGAAGACATTTCCTTTTCCACAATAGGTCCTAAGCACTAAAAATATCCACTTGCAGATTCTACAAATAGTGGGTTTCAAAACTTCTCAATCAAAAGAAATGTTCACCACAGTGTGTTGAACGAACATGTCGAAAGAAGTTTCTCAAAATGCTTCTGTGTAGCTTTATGTGAAGATATTTCCTTTTTCACCATAGGCCTCAACGTACTCCAAATATCTACTTGCAGATTCTACAAAAAGTGTGTTTCAAAATTCCTCAATCAAAAGAAAGTTGATCTCTGTGAGATGCAGGCACACATTGCAAAGAAGTTTCTCAGAATGCATCTGTGTTGTTTTTATGTGAAGATATTTTCTTTTCCACAGTAGGCCTCGAGGGGCTCCAAATATCCACTTGCAGATTCTACAAAAAGACTGTTTCAAAAATGCTTGGTGAAAAGAAAAGTTCAACTCTCTCAGATGAATGCATACATGAAAATGAAGTTTCTCAGAATGCTTCTGTGTAGTTTTTATGTGAAGATATTTTCTTTTCCACCAGAGGACACCAAGGGCTCCAAATATCCACTTGCAGATTCTACAAAAAGAGAGTTTGGAAACTGTGCAATCAAAAGACAGATTCAAATCTGTGATTTGAATGCACACATCAGAAAGAAGTTTCTCAGAATGCTTCTGTGTAGATTTTGTGTGAAGATATAGCCTTTTCCACCATAGGCCTCAATGCGCTCCAAATGTCCAGTTAGAGATACTACAAAAACAGTTTTTGAAAACTGCTCAATAAAAAGAAAAGTTCAACTCTGTGAGATGAACGCACACATTGCAAAGAAGTTTGTCAGAATGATTCTGTGTTGTTTTCATGTGAATATATTTCCTTTTCCATGATAGGCTTCAAAGCACTCCAAATATCCACTTGCAGATCCTACAAAATAGAGTGTTTCAAAACTGCTCAAACAAAAGAAAGGTTCAACTCTGTGAGATGAATGCACACATCACAATATAGTTTCTCAGAATGCTTCTGTGTAGTTTTTATGTGAAGATATTTCCTTTGCCACAATAGGCCTCAAAGTGCTCCAAATATCCAACTGCAGATTCTACAGAAAGAGTGTTTCAAAACTGCTGAATCAACAGAAAGGTTCAAATCTGTGAGATGAATGCACACATCACAAACCAGTTTCACAGAACGCTTCTCTGTAGATTTTATGTGAAGATATTTCCTTTCTCCACCACAGGCTGCAAAGGGCTCCAAATATACACTTGCTGATTCTACAAAAAGAGTGCTTCAAAAGTGCTCAATAAAAAGAAATGTTCAACTCTGTGAGATGAATGCACACATTGCAAAGAAGTTTCTCAGAAGGCTTCTGTGTAGTTTTTTTGTGAAGATATTTCCTTTTCCAAAATAGGACTCAAAGCCCTCGAAATATCCACTTGCAGAATCTACAAAAAGACTCTTTCAACACTGCTCAATCAAAAGAAAGCTTCAACTCTGTGAGATGAAGGCACACATCACAAAGGAGTTTCTCAGAATGCTTCCGTGTAGGTTTTATGTGAAGATATTTCCTTTTCCAACAAAGGACTCAAAAGGCTCCAAATATCCACTTGCAGGTTCTACAAAAATAGTGTTTCTAAACAGGTCAATCAAAAGAAAGGTTCAACACTGTGAGATTAATGCACGCATCACCAATAAGTTTTTTCAGAATGATTCTGTATAGTTTTTATGAGAAGATATTTCTTTTTCCACCACAGGCAGCAAGGGGCTCTAAATATCCACTTGCAGATTCTACAAAAAGAGATTTTCAAAGCTCCTCAATAAAAAGATAAGTTCAACTCTGTGAGCTGAATGCACACATCAAAAAGAAGTTTCTTTGAATGCTTCTGTGTAGTTTTTATGTGAAGATATTTCCTTTTCCACCTTAGGCCGCAAAAGGCTCCACATATCCACTTGCAGTTTCTAGAAAGAGAATGTTTCCAAACTGGTTAATCAAAACAAAGTTTCAACTGTGTGACTTGAAGGCACACATCACAAAGAAGTTTGACAGAATTCTACTGTGTAGTTTCTATGTGAAGGTATTTCCTTTGCCACAATAGGCCTCAAAGCACTCCAAATATCCACTTGCAGATTCTACAAAAAGAGTTTTTCAAAAATGCTCTATCAAAGCAAAGGTTCAACTCTGTTAGATGAATGCACACATCACAAAGAAGTTTCTCAGAATGCTTCTGTATAGTTTTTGTGTGAAGATGTTTCCTTTTCCACCGTAGGCTGCAAAGGGCTCCAAATATCCACTTGCAGATTCTATGAAAATAGTGCTTCAAAACTGCTCAATCAAAAGACGGGGTCAACACTGTGAGATGAATGCACACGTCACAAAGAAGTTTTTTCAGAATGCTTCTGTGTAGTTTTTATGTGAAGATATTTCCTTTTACACCACAAGGCAAAACGGGCTCCAAATATCCACTTGCAGATTCTACAAAGGAAAGATTCAAAACTGCTCAATCCAAAGATAAGTTCAACTCTGTGAGTTGAAGGCACACATCACAAAGAAGTTTCTCAGAATTCTTCTATCTTGTTTTCATGTAAAGGTATTTCTTTTCAGACCATAGGCCTCAAAGTGCTCCAAATGTCCACTTGCAGATTCTGCAAAAAGAGATTTTCAAAACTGCTCAATCAAAAGAAAGGATCAACTCTGTGAGATGAGTGCACAGATCACAAAGAAGTTTCTCAGAATGCTTCTCTGTAGTTTTTATGTGAAGATATTTCCTTTTCCACTATAGGCCTCAAAACGCTCCAAATAACCACTTAGAAATTCTACAAAAAGAGTGTTTTAAAACTGTTCAATCATAAGATTGGTTCAACCAAGTGAGATGAATGCACACATCGCAAATAAGCTTCTCAGAATGCTTTTGTGTAGTTTTTATTTGAAGGTATTTCCTTTTCCACCATAGACATCAAAGGGCTCCAAATATCGACTTGCAGATTCTACCAAAACAGAGATTCAAAACTGCTCAATCAAAAGATAGGTTCAACTCTGTGAGTTGAATGCACACATCACAAATATGTTTCTCAGAATGCTTCTGTATAGTTTTAATTTGATGATATTTCCTTTTCACATTAGGACTCAAAGCTCTCCAAATATCCACTTGCAGATTCTGCTAAAAGAGAGATTCAAAACTGCTCAATCAAAATACAGGATTAACTCCATGAGTTGAATGCACACATCACAAAGAAGTTTCTCAGAATACTTCTGTGTAGTTTTTATGTGAAGATATTTCCTTCATCACAGTAGACCCCAAACCACTCCAAGTATCCACTTGCAGATTCTACGAAAAGAGTGTTTCAAAACTGCTCAATCAAAAGATAGGTTCAACTCTGTGAGTTGAAAGCACACATCACAAAGAAGTTTCTCCGAATGATTCTGCATAGTTTTTATGCGAAGATATTACCTTTTCAACAATAGGCTTCAAATCCCTCCAAATACCCACTTGCAGATTCTAAAAAAAGAGTGTTTCAAAACTACACAATCAAAAGAAAGTTTCAACTCTGGAAGATGTATGCACACATCACAAAGAAGTTTCTCAGAATGCTTCTATGTAGTTTTTATGTGAAGATATTCGGTTTTCCACATTAGGCCTCAAGGCGCTCCAAATATCCACTTGCATTAGCTGAAAAAACGTGTATCAAAACTGCTCAATCAAAAGAAAAGATCAACAAAGTGAGATGAATGCATACATAACAAAGAAGTTTCTCAGAATGCTTCTGTGTAGTTTTTGTGTGAAGATATTTCCTTTTCTACCATAGGCCTCAAAGTGGCCCAAGTATCCACCTTCAGATTCTACAATAAGAGTGTTTCAAAACCGCTCAATCATAACATAGTTTCAACACTGTGAGATGAATGCACACATCACAAATGTTTCTCAGAATGCTTCTGTGTAATTTTTATTTGAAGATATTTCCTTTTCCAACATCGGCCTCCAAGGTCTCCAAATATCCACTTTCAGATTCTTCAAACAGAGAGATTCAAAACTGCTTAATCAAAAGATAGGTTCCACTCTGTGAGGTGAATGCACACATCACAAAGAAGTTTCTCAGAATGTTTCTGTGTAGTTTTTATAGGAAGATATTTGGTTTTCCACAATAGGCCTCAAATCGCTCCAAATATCCACTTGCAGATACTACAAAAAGCATGTTTCAAAAACTCTCAATCAAAAGAAAGGTTCAACTCTGTGAGATGAATGCACACATCACCAAGAAGTTTCTCAGAATGCTTCTGTGTAGTTTTTATGTGAAGATATTTGCTTTTCCACAGTAGGCCTGAAAGTGCTCCCAGTATCCCACTTGCAGACACCTCAAAAACAGTGTTTCAAGAGTACTCAATCAAAACAAAGGATAAACCCTGTCAGATGAAGGCACTCATCACAAAGAAGGCTCTCAGAATGCTTCTATGTAGTTTTTATGTGAAGATATTTCCTTTTCCACAATAGGTCCCAAAGAGCTCCAAATGTCCACTTGCAGATTCTACAAAAGGAGTGTTTCAAAACTGCCCAATCAAAAGAAAGTTTCAATTCTGTCAGATGAATGCACACATCACAAAGAAGTTTCTCAGAATGCTTCTGTCTAGTTATTATATGAAGATAGTTCGTTATCCACCAAAGGCCTCAAAGCGCTTCAAAGGTAAACTTGCACATTCCACAAAAACAGTGTTCCAAAACTGCTCAAAGCAAAGTAAGTTTCAACTCAGTGGGATGAATGCACACATCAAAAAGCCATTTGTCAGAATTTTTCCGTCTGGTTTTTATGTGATGATATTTTTTTTCCACCATAAGCCTCAAAGCGCTTCAAATGTCCACTTGCAGATTCTATAAAAAGAGAGTTTCAAAACTCCTCAATCAAAACAAAGTTTTAACTCTGTGAGGTGAATGCACACATCACAAAGAAGTTTCTCAGATTGCTTCTGTCTAGATTTCACATGAAGATATTTCCTTTTCCACCATAGGCCTCAAAGTGCTCCAAAAGTCCACTTCCAGATTCTGCAAAAGGAGTGTTTCCAAACAGCTCAATCAAAAGGAATGTTCAACTCTGTGAGATGAATTGACACATCACAAAGAAGTTTCTCAGAATTCTTCTGTCTATTTTTTATGTGAAGGTATTTCCTTTTCTACCAGAGGCCACAAAGCGCTCCAAATGTCCACTTGCAATTTCTACAAAAAGAGTATTACCAAACTATTTAATCAAAAAAAAAGGCTCAACTGTGTGAGATGAACACACATATCACGAAGACGTTTCTCAGAATTCTTCTGTCTAGTTTTTATGTGAAGATATTTACTTTTCCACCATAGGCCTCAAAGCGCTCCAAATGTCCACTTGCAGATCCTACAAAAAGAGAGTTTCAATACTGCTCAATCAAAAGAAAGGTTTAACTCTGTGAGATGAATGCACAGATCACAAAGAAGTTTCTCAGATTGCTTATGTCTAGATTTTATGTGAAGATATTTCCTTTTCTAAAATAGGCCACAAACCGCTCAAAATGTCCACTTGCAGATTCTACAAAAAGTGTTTCCAAACTGCTCAATCAAAAGAAATGTTCAACTCTGTGAGATGAACGCACACATCACAAAGAAGTTTCTCAGAATTCTTCTGTCTTGTTTTTATGTGAAGATATTTACTTTTCCACCATAGGCCTCAAAGCGCTCCAAATGTCCACTTGCAGATCCTACAAAAAGAGAGTTTACATACTGCTCAATCAAAAGAAAGGTTTAACTCTCTGAGATGAATGCACACATCACAAAGAAGTTTCTCAGATTGATTCTGTCTAGATTTTATGTGAAGTTATTTCCTTTTCTACCATAGGCCGCAAGTGCTCCAAATGTCCGCTTGCAGATTCTACAAAAAGTGTGTTTCCAAGCTGCTCAATGAAAGGAAAGCTTCAACTCGATGAAGGCACAAATCACAAAGAAGTTTCCCAGAATGCTTTTGTCTAGTTTTTATGTGAAGATATTTCCTTTTCCACCATAGGCTTCAAAGCCTTCCAAATGACCACTTTCAGATTCCACAAAAAGAGAGTTTCAAAACTGCTCTATCAAAAGAAAGGAATAACTCTGTGAGATGAATGCACACATCAGAAGGAAGTTTTTCAGATTGCTTCTGCTTTGATTTTATGTGAAGATATTTCCTTTTCTAAAATAAGCCACAATGTGCTCCAAACATCCACATGCAGATTCTACAAAAAGATTGTTTCCAAACTGCTCAATGAAAAGAAAGGTTAAACTCTGTGAGATAAACGAACACATCACAAAGAAGTTTTTCAGAATTCTTCTGTCTAGTTTTTGTGAAGATATTTCCTTTTCCACCATAGGCCTCAAAGCTCTCCAAATGTCCACTTCCAGATTCTACAAAAGGAGTGTTTCCAAACTGCTCAATCAAAAGAACGGTTCAACTCTGTGAGATGAAGACACACATCATGAAGAAGTTTCTCAGAATTCTTCTGTCTAGATTTTATGTGAAAATATTTCCTTTTCCAACATAGGCCTCAAAGTGTTCCAAATAACCACTTGCAGATTCTACAAAAAGAGAATTTCAAAACTGCCTAATCAAAAGAAAGGTTTAACTCTGTGAGATGAATGCACACATCATAAAAAGTTGCTCAGATTGCTTCTGTCTAGATTTTATATGAAGATATTTCCTTTTCTTCCATAGGCCGCAAAGCATTCCAAATGTCCACTTCCAGATTCTACAAAAACAGTCTTTCCAAACTGCTGAATTAAAAGAATTGTTCTACTCTGTGAGATGAACACACACATCACAAAAATGTTTGTCAGAATTCTTCTGTCTAGTTTTTATGTGAAGATATTGCCTTTTCCACCATGGGCCTCAAAGCACTCCAAATGTCCACTTGCAGATTCTACAAAAAAAGAGAGTTTCAAAACTGCTCTATCAAAAGAAAGGTTTAACTCAGTGACATGAATGCACACATCACAAAGAAATTTCACAGATTACTTCTGCCTAGATTTTATTGGAAGATATTTCCTTTTTTATAATAGGCCGCAAAGCACACCAAATGTCCACTTGCAGATTCTGCGCAAAGAGTATTTCCAAACTGCTCAATCAAAAGAAAAGTTCAACTCTGTGAGATGAATGAACACATCATAAAGATGTTTCTCAGAATTCTTCTGTCTAGTTTTTATGTGAAGATATTTCCTTTTCCACTGTAGGCCTCAAAGAGCTCCAAATATCCACTTGCAGATTCTACAAAAAGACAGTTTCAAAACTGCTCAATCAAAAGAAAGTTTCGACTCTGTGAAATGAATGAACAGATCACAAAGAAGTTTCTCAGATTGCTTCTGTCTAGATTTTATGTGAAGATATTTCCTTTTCTAACATAGGACACAAAGCGCTACAAGTGTCAACTTGCAGACTCTACAAAAAGAGTGTTTCCAACCTGCTCAATCAAAAATAGTTCATCTCTGTGAGATGAATTGACGCATCACAAAGAAGTTTCTCAGAATTCTTCTTTCCAGTTTTAATGTGAAGATATTTCATTTTCCACCATAGGCCTCATAGCACTCCAAATGTACAATTGCAGATTCTACAAAATGAGTGTTTCCAAACTGCTCCATCAAAAGAAAGTTTTAAAACTGTGAGATGAATGCACATATCACAAATAAGTTTATCAGACTGCTTTTGTCTACATTTTATGTGAAGATATTCCCTTTTCTATAATAGGCCCCAAACAATTCAAGTGTCCACTTGCAGATTCCACAAAAAGAGTGTTTCCAAACTGCTCAATTAAATGTAAGATTCAACTCTGTGAGATGAATGAACACATCACAAAGAAGTTTCTCAGAAATCTTCTGTCTCATTTTTTATGTGAATATACTTCCTTTTCCACCATAAGCCTCAAAGCGCTACAAATGTCCACTTGCAGATTCTACAAAAAGAACGTTTCAAAACTTCTCAATCATAAGAATGGTTCAACTCCGTGAGATGAATGCACACATCAGTAAGTAGTTTCTCAGATTCCTTCTGTCTAGATTTCATGGGAAGATGTTTTCTTTTCTAGCATGGGCCACAAAGCGATCCAAATATCCACTTGCAGATTCTACTAAAAGAGTGTTTCCCAACTGCTCAATCAAAAGAAAGGTTCAACTCTGTGGAATTAAATCACACATCACAAAGAAGTTTCTCAGAATTCTTCTGTCTAGTTTTTATGTGAAGATATTTCATTTTCGACCATTGGCCTCAAGGCGCTCGAAATGCCCACTTGCAGATACTACAAAAAGAATATTTCAAAACTTGTCCATGAAAAGTAAGGTTCAACTCTGTGAGATGCATGCACACATCACAAAGAAGTTTGTCAGAATTCTTCTATCTAGTTTTGATTTGAAGATATTACCTTTTCCACCATAGGCCTCAAAGTGCTCCACTTCCAGATTCTACAAGAAGAGACTGAAGAGAGTTTCAAAACTGCTCTATCAAAAGAAAGTTTTATCTCTGTGAGATGAATGCATACATCACAACGAAGTTTTTTCAGATTTCTTTTGTCTAGATTTTATGTGAAGATATTTCCTTTTCTACCATAGGCCACAAAGCGGTCCAAATTCCCACTTGCAGATTGTACAAAAAGAGTGTTTCCAAACTGCTCAATCAAAATAGAGGTTCAACTCTGTGAGATGACTGCACGCATCACAAAGCAGTTTCTCAGAATTATTCCATATAGTTTTTATGTGAATATATTTCATTTTCGACCATAGGCCTCAAGGCGCTCGAAATGCCCACTTGCAGATTCTACAAAAAGAATATTTCAAAACTGGTCCATCAAAAGTAAGGTCCTACTCTGTGAGATGTAAGCACCCATCACAAAGAGGTTTTTCTGAATTTTTCTGTCCAGTTTTTATGTGAAGATATTAACCTTTTCTACCATAGGACTCAAGGCGCTCCACTTGTAGATTCTACAAAAAGAGAGTTTCAAAACAACTCTATCAAAAGAAAGGTTTAACACTGTGAGATGAATGCATACATCACAGAGAAGTTTCTCAGATTCCTTCTGTCTAGATTTTGTGTGAAGATATTTCCTTTTTTACCAGAGGTCTCAATGTGCTCCAAATATCCACTTGCAGATTCTACAAAAAGAATGTTTCCAAACAGCTCTATCAAAAGAAAAGTTCAACTCTGTGAGATGAATGCACACATCACAAAGAAGCTTCTCAGAATTCCCTGTCTAGTTTTTATGTTCCTTTTCCACCTTAGCTCTCAAAGCACTACAAATGTTCACTTGCAGATTCTACAAAAAGGAGTTTGAAAACTGCTCAATCAAAACCAAGTTTTAAATCTGTGAGATGAATGCACACATCACAAAGAAGTTTCTCTGATTGCTTCTGTCTAGATGTTATGTGAAGATATTTCCTTTCCTACCATAGGCCACAAAGCACTCCCAATGTCCAATTGCAGGTTCTACAAAAAGAATATTTCCAAACTGCTTCATCAAATGAAAGTTTCAACTCTGTTAGATGAATGCACACATCACAGAGAACTTTCTCAGAATTCTTCTGTCTACTTTTTATGTGAAGATATTTCCTTTTCTACCATAGGCCGCAAAACGCTCCAAATGTCCACTTGCAGATTCTACAAGAAGTGTTTCCAAACTGCTCAATCAAAAGAAAGTTTCAACTCTGTGAGATGAACGCACACATCACAAAGAAGTTTCCCAGGTTGCTTCTGTCTAGATTTTATGTGAAGATATTTCCTTTTCTTACATAGGCCAAAAAGCACTCCAAATGTCCACTTGCAGATTCTACAAAAGGAGAGTTTCAAAACTGCTCTATCAAAAGAAAGGTTTAAGTCTGTGAGATGAATTCACACATCACAAAGAAGTTTCTCAGGTTGCTTCTGTCTAGTATTTATGTGATATTTCCTTTTCTACCATGGGCCACAAAGAAATCGAAATGTCTACTTGCACATTCTACAAAAAGTGAGTTTCAAATCTGCACTATCAAAAGAAAGGTTTAACTCTGTGAGATGAATGCCCACATCACAAGGAAGTTTCTCAGATTTCTTCTGTCTAGATTTTATGTGAAGATATTTCCTTTTTTACAATAGGCCGCAAAGCGCTCCAAATGTCCACTTGCAGATTCTACAAAAAGAGTGTTTCCCTACTGCTCTATCAAAGAAAGTTTCAACTCTGTAAGATGAAGGCACACATTATGAAGTAGTTTCTGAAATTTCTTCTGTATAGTTTTTATGTGAAGATATTTCCTGTTCCACCATAGGCCCCAAAGCATTCCAAATATACAGTTGCAGATTCTACAAAAAGGGAGTTTCAAAACTGCTCAATCAAAAGTAAGATTTAACTCTGTGAGATGAACACACACATTACAAAGAAGTTTCTCAGATTGCTTCTGTCTATATTTTATGTGAAGATATTTCCTTTTCTACCATAGGCCACAAAGTGCTCCAAATGTCCACTAGCAGATTCTACAAAAAGAGTGTTTCCAAACTGCTCAATCAAAAGAAAGGTTCAACTCTGTGACATGAACCCTCACATTGCAAAGACATTTCTCAGAATTTTTCTGCCTGGTTTTTATGTGAAGATATTTCCTTTTCCATGATAGGCTTCAAAGCGCTCCAAATGTCCACTTGCAGATTCTACAAAAAGAGAGTTTCAAAACTCCTCAATCAAAAGAAAGCTTTAACTCTTTGAGATGAATGCTCACATCACAAAGAAGTTTCTCAGATTGCTTCTGTCTAGATTTTATTTGAAGATATTTCCTTTTCTGCCATAGGACACAAAGTTCTCCAAATGTCCACTTGCAGATTCTACAAAAAGAGTGTTTCCATACTGCTCAATCTAAAGAAAGGTTCAACATTGTGAAATGAACGCACACTTCACAAAGAAGTTTCTCAGAATTCTACTGTCTAGTTTTTATGTGAAGATATTTCCTTTTCCACCATTGGCCACAAAGCACTCCTAATGTCCATTTGCAGATTCAAATAAAAGAGATTTTCAAAACTGCTCAATCAAAAGAAATTTTTATCTCTGTGAGATGAATGCACCCATCACAAAGAAGTTTCTCAGATTGCTTCTGTCTAGATTTTATGTGAAGATATTTCCTTTTCAACCATAGGCCACATAGCGCTCCATATATCTACTTGCAGATTATACAAAAAGAGGGTTTCTGAACTGCTCAATCAAAAGTAAGATTCAACTCCATGAGATGAACGCACACATCACAAAGAAGTTTCTCAGAATTCTTCTATCTAGTTTTTATGCGCAGATATTTCCTTTTCTACCATAGGCCACAAAGTTCTCCAAATGTCTACTTGCAGATTCTATCTGCAAGTTTTATCTCTGTGAGATGAATGCATGCATCTCATTTTAGAAAAAGAGAGTTTCTAAACTGCTCAATCAAAAGAAAGGTTTAACTCTGTGACATGAATGCACACATCACAAAGTAGTTTCTCAGATTGCTTCTGTCTGGAATTTATGTGAAGATATTACGTTTTCTACCATAGGCCACAAAGCGCTCCAAATGTCCACTTGCAGTTTCTACAAAAAGAGTGATTCCAAACTGCGCAATCAAAAGAAAGGTTCAAATCTGTGAGATGAACGCAGATATCACAAAGAAGTTTCTCAGAATTCTTCTGTCTGGTTTTTATGTGAAGATATTACCTTTTCCACCATAGGCCTCAAAGCGCTTCAAATGTACACTTGCAGATTCTACAAAAGGGAGTTTCTAAACTGCTCAATCAAAAGGAAGTTTTAGCTGTGTGAGTTGAATGCACACATCACAAAGAAGTTTCTGAGACTGCTTCTGTCTAGGTTTCATAAGAAAAAACTTCCTTTTGTACCATAGGTCACTGAGCGCTGCAAATGTACACTTGAAGATTCTACATTAAGAGTGTTTCCAAACTGCTCCATCAAAAGAGAGGTTCAACTCTGTGAAATGAACGCACACATCACAAAGAAGTTTATCGAAATTCTTCGGTCTAGTTTTTATGTTGAAGATATTACCTTTTCCACCATAGGCCTCAAAGTGCTCCAATGTACACTTGCAGATTCTACAAAAAGAGAGTTTCAAAATTGCTCTATCAAAAGAAAGGTTTAAGTCTGTGATACCAATGCACATATTACAAAGAAGTTTCTCAGATTGCTTCTGTCTAAATTTTATGTGAAGATATTTCCTTTTCTACCATAGGCCGCAAAGCACTCTAAATGTGCACCTGCAGATTCTACAAAAAGAGTATTTCCAAACTGCTCAATCAAAAGAAAGGTTGAACTCTGTGAGGTGAACGCACACATCACAAAGAAGTTTCTCAGAATTTTTCTGTCAAGTTTTTTTTTTTTAAAGAGCAGTTTGGGTTTTATTTTCTTTATGTTCATAGATTTATTTATTTATTTTATTTATTTACTTTATTATTATACTTTAAGTTTAAGGGTACATGTGCACAATGTGCAGGTTAGCTACATATGTTTACATGTGCCATGCTGGTGCGCTGCACCCACTAACTCATCATCTATCATTAGGTGTATATCCCAGTGGTATCCTTCACCCATCCCACCACCCCACAACAGTCCCCAGAGTGTGATGTTCTGCTTCCTGTGTTTATGTGTTCTCATTGTTCAATTCCCACCTATGAGTGAGAATATGCGGTGTTTGTTTTCTTGTTCTTGTGATAGTTTACTGAGAATGATGATTTCCAATTTCATCCTTGTCCCTACAAAGGACATGAACTCATCATTTTTTATGGCTGTATAGTATTCCATGGTGTATATGTGCCACATTTTCTTAATCCAATCTATTATTGTGGGACATTTGGATTGGTTCCAAGTCTTTGCTCTTGTGAATAATGCCACCATAAACATACGTGTGCATGTGTCTTTATAGCAGAATGATTTATATTCCTTTGGGTATATACCCAGTAATGGGATGGCTGGGTCAAATGCTATTTCTAGTTCTAGATCCCTGAGGAATCGCCACACTGACTTCCACAATCGTTGAACTAGTTTACAGTCCCACCAACAGTGTAAAAGTGTTCCTGTTTCTCCACATCCTCTCCAGCACCTGTTGTTTCCTGACTTTTTGATGATTGCCATTCTAACTGGTGTGAAACGACATCTCATTGTGGTTTTGATTTGCATTTCTCTGATGGCCAGTGATGGTGAGCATTTTTTCATGTGTTTTTTGGCTGCATAAATGTCTTCTTTTGAGAAGTGTCTGTTCATGTCATTCATCCACTTTTTGATGGGGTTGTTTGTTTTTTTCTTGTAAATTTGTTTGAGTTCATTGTAGATTCCGGATATTAGCCCTTTGTCAGATGAGTAGGTTGCGAAAATTTTCTCCCATTTTGTAGGTTGCCTGTTCACTCTGATGGTAGTTTCTTTTGCTGTGCAGAAGCTCTTTAGTTTAATTAGATCCAATTTGTCAATTTTGGCTTTTGTTGTCATTGCTTTTGGTGTTTTAGACATGAAGTTCTTGCCCATGCCTATGTCCTGAATGTTAATGCCTAGGTTTTCTTCTAGGGTTTTTATGGTTTTAGGTCTAACGTTTAAGTCTTTAATCCATTTTGAATTAATTTTTGTATAAGGTGTAAGGAAGGGATCCAGTTTCAGCTTTCTACATATGGCTAGCCAGTTTTCCCAGCACCATTTATTAAATAGGGAATCCTTTCCCCATTGCTTGTTTTTCTCAGGTTTGTCAAAGATCAGATAGTTGTAGGTATGCGGCATTATTTCTGAGGGCTCTGTTCTGTTCCATTGACCTATATCTCTGTTTTGGTACCAGTACCATGCTGTTTTGGTTACTGTAGCCTTGTAGTACAGTCTGAACTCAGGTAGCATGATGCCTCCAGCTTTGTTCTTTTGTCTCAGGATTGACTTGGTGATGCGGGCTCTTTTTTGATTCCATGTGAACTTTAAAGTAGTTTTTTCCAATTCTGTGAAGAAAGTCATTGGTAGCTTGATGAAGATGGCATTGAATCTGTAAATTACCTTGGGCAGTATGGCCATTTTCACGATATTGATTCTTCCTAGCCATGAGCATGGAATGTTCTTCCATTTGTTTGTGTCCTCTTTTATTTGCTTGAGCAGTGGTTTGTAGTTCTCCTTGAAGAGGTCCTACACATCCCTTGTAAGTTGGATTCCTAGGTATTTTTTTTTTTCTCTTTGAAGCAATTGTGAATGGGAGTTCACTCATGATTTGGCTCTCTGTTTGTCTGTTGTTCGTATATAAGAATGCTTGTGATTTTTGTACATTGATTTTGTATCCTGAGACTTTGCTGAAGTTGCTTATCAGCTTAAGGAGATTTTGGGTTGAGACAATGGGGTTTTCTAGATATACAATCATGTCGTCTGCAAACAGGGACAATTTGACTTCCTCTTTTCCTAATTGAATACCATTTATTTCCTTCTCCTGCCTAATTGCCCTGGCCAGAACTTCCAACACTATGTTGAATAGGAGTGGTGAGAGAGGGCATCCCTGTCTTGTGCCAGTTTTCAAAGGGAATGCTTCCAGTTTTTGCCCATTCAGTATGATATTGGCTGTGGGTTTGTCATAGATAGCTCTTATTATTTTGAAATGTGTCCCATCAATACCTATTTTATTGAGAGTTTTTAGGATGAAGCAGTGTTGAAGTTTGTCAAAGGCTTTTTCTGCATCTATTGAGATAATCATGTGGTTTTTGTCTTTGGTTCTGTTATATGCTGGATTACATTTATTGATTTGCATAAATTGAACCAGCCTTGCATCCCAGGGATGAAGCCCACTTGATCATGGTGGATAAGCTTTTTGATGTGCTGCTAGATTCGGTTTGCCAGTATTTTATTGAGGATTTTTACATCAATGTTCATCAAGGATATTGGTCTAAAATTCTCTTTTTTGGTTGTGTTTCTGCCCGATTTTGGTATCAGGATGATGCTGGCCTCATAAAATGAGTTAAGGAGGATTCCCTCTTTTTCTATTCATTGGAATATTTTCAGAAGGAACAGTACCATTTCCTCCTTGTACCTCTGGTAGAACTCGGCTCTGAATCCATCTGGTCCTGGACTCTTTTTCATTGGTAATCTATTGATTATTGCCACAATTTCAGCTCCTGTTATTGGTCTATTAAGAGATTCAACTTCTTCCTAGTTTAGTCTTGGGAGAGTGTATGTGTCAAGGAATTTATCCATTTCTTCTAGATTTTCTAGTTTATTTGCATAGAGGTGTATGTAGTATTCTCTGATGGTAGTTCGTATTTCTGTGGGATTGGTGGTGATATCCCCTTTATCATTTTTTGTTGCATCTATTTGATTATTCTCTCTTTTTTCCTTTATTAGTCTTGCTAGCGGTCTATCAATTTTATTGATCTTTTCAAAAAACCAGTTCCTGGATTCGTTAGTTTTTTGAAGGGTTTTTTGTGTCTCTATTTCCTTCAGTTCTGCTATGATTTTAGTTATTTCTTGCCTTCTGCTAGCTTTTGAATGTGTTTGCTCTTGCTTTTCTGCTTCTTTTAATTGTGATGTTAGGGTGTCAATGTTGGATCTTTCCTGCTTTCTCTTGTGGGTATTTAGTGCTATAAATTTCCCTCTACACACTGCTTTGAATGCGTCCCAGAGATTCTGGTATGTTGTGTATTTGTTCTCATTGGTTTCAAAGAACATCTTTATTTATGCCTTCATTTCGTTATGTACCCAGTAGTCATTCAGGAGCAAGTTGTACAGTTTCCATGTAGTTGAGCGGTTTTGAGTGAGATTCTTAATCCTGAGTTCTAGTTTGATTGCCCTGTGGTCTGAGAGATAGTTTTTTATAATTTCTGTTCTTTTACATTTGCTGAGGAGAGCTTTACTTCCAAGTATGTGGTCAATTTTGGAATAGGTGTGGTGTGGTGATGAAAAAATGTATATTCTGTCAATTTGGGGTGGACAGTTCTGTAGATGTCTATTAGGTCAGCTTGGTGCAGAGCTGAGTTCAATTCCTGGGTATCCTTGTTGACTTTCTGTCTTGTTGATCTGTCTAATGTTGACAGTTTAGTGTTAAAGTCTCCCATTATTAATGTGTGGGAGTCTAAGTCTTTTTGTAGGTCAGTCAGGACTTGCTTTATGAATCTGGGTGCCCCTGTATTGGGTGCATATATATTTAGGATAGTTAGCTCTTCTTGTTGAATTGATCCCTTTACTATTAAGTAATGGCCTTCTTTGTCTCTTTTGATCTTTGTTGGTTTAAAATCTGTTTATAAGAGACTAGGATTGCAATCCCTGCCTTTTTTTGTTTTCCATTTGCATGGTAGATCTTCCTTCATCCTTTTATTTTGAGCCTATGTGTGTCTCTGCACATGAGATGGGTTTCCTGAATATAGCATACTGATGAGTCTTGACTCTTTATCCAGATTGCCAGTCTGTGTCTTTTAATTGGAGTATTTAGTCCATTTACATTTAAAGTTAATATTGTTATGTGTAAATTTGATCCTGTCCTTATGATGTTAGCTGGTTATTTTGTTCGTTAGTTGATGCAGGTTCTTCCTAGTCATGATGGCCTTTACATTTTGGCATGATTTTGCCACGGCTGGTACCGGTTGTTCTTCTCCATATTTAGTGCTTCCTTAAGGAGGTCCTTTTGGGCAGGCCTGGTGGTGACAAAATCTCTCAACATTTGCTTGTCTGTAAAGTATTTTATTTCTCCTTCACTTATGAAGCTTAGTTTGGCTGGATATGAAATTCTGGGTTGAAAATTATTTTCTTTAAGAATGTTGAATATTGCCCCCCACTCTCTTCTGGCTTGTAGAGTTTCTGCCAAGAGATCTGTTGTTAGTCTGATGGGCTTCCCTTTGAGGGTAACCCAACCTTTCTCTTTGGCTGCCCTTAACATTTTTTCCTTCATTTCAACTTTGGTGAATCTGACAATTATGTGTCTTGGAGTTGCTGTTCTCGAGGAGTATCTTTATGGTGTTCTCTATATTTCCTGAATCTGAATGTTGGCCTGCCTTGCTAGATTGGGGAAGTTCTCTTGGATAATATCGTGCAGAGTGTTTTCCAACTTGGTTTCATTCTCCCCATCACTTTCAGGTACACCAATCAGACGTAGATTTGGTGTTTTCACATAGTCCCATATTTCTTGGAGGCTTTACTTATTTCTTTTTATTCTTTTTTCTCTAAATTTCCTTTCTTGCTTCATTTCATCCACTTCATCTTCCATTGCTGATACTGTTTCTTCCAGTTGATCATATCAGCTCCTGAGGCTTCTGCATTCTTCACGTACTTCTTGAACTTTGGCTTTCAGCTCCATCAGCTCCTTTAAGCACTTCTCTGTGTTGATTATTCTAGTTATACATCCTTCTAAATTTTTTTCAATGTTTTCAACTTCTTTGCCTTTGGTTTGAATGTCCTTCTGTAACTCGGAGTAATTTGATCGTCTGGAGCCTTCTTCTCTCAGCTAGTCAAAGTCATTCTCCATCCAGCTTTGTTCCGTTGCTGGTGAGGAACTACATTCCTTTGGAGGAGGAGAGGCGCTCTGCTTTTTAGATTTTCCAGTTTTTCTGTTTTGTTTTTTCCCCACCTTTGGGTTTTTATCTACTTTTGGTCTTTGATAATGGTGATGTACAGATGGGATTTTGCTGTGGATGTCCTTTCTGTTTGTTAGTTTTCCTTCTAACAAACAGGACCCTCAGCTGCACGTCTGTAGGAGTACCTGGCCGTGTGAAGTGTCAGTCTGCCCCTGCTGGTTGGGTGCCTCCTAGTTAGGCTGCTCAGGGGTCAGGGGTCAGGGCCCCACTTGAGGAGGCAGTCTGCCCATGCTTAGATCTCCAGCTGCGTGCTGGGAGAACCACTGCTCTCTTGAAAGCTGTCAGACAGGGACATTTAAGTCTGCAGAGGTCACTGCTGTCTTTTTGTTTATCTGTGTCCTGCCCCCAGAGGTGGAGCCTACAGAGGCAGGCAGGCCTCCTTGAGCTGTGGTGGGCTCCACCCAGTTCGAGCTTCCCAGCTGCTTTGTTTACCTAAGCAAGCCTGGGCAATGGCAGGCGCCCCTCCCCTAGCCTCGCTGCCTCCTTGCAGTTTGATCTCAGACAGCTGTGCTAGCAATCAGTGAGACTCCATGGGCGTAGGACCCTCTGAGCCAGGTGCGGGATATAATCTCTTCGTGTGGCGTTTTTTAAGCCCGTGGGAAAAGCGCAGTATTCGGGTGGGAGTGACCTGAATTCTAGGTGCTGTCTGTCACCCCTTTCTTTGACTAGGAAAGGGAACTCCCTGACTCCTAGTCCTTCCTGAGTGAGGCAATGCCTCGCCCTGCTTTGGCTCGTGCACGGTGCACGCACACACTGACCTGCTCCCACTGTCTGGCACTCACTGGTGAGATGAACCCGGTACCTCAGATGGAAATGCAGAAATCACCCATCTTCTGCGTCACTCACACAGGAAGCTGTAGTCCGGAGCTGTTCCTATTTGGCTATCTTGTTTCCCCTCCCAGAACACTCTCTTTGTAGAATCTGCAATTGGACATTTGGAGCACTTTCAGGACTATGGTGGATAACAAAATATCTTCACATAATAACTAGACAGAAGCATTCTAAGACACTTCTTTGTTATGTGTGCATTCATCCCACAGAGTTGAATCTTTCTTTTGATTTAGCAGTTTCGAAGCACTCTTTTTGTAAAATCTGCAAGTGGACATTTTGTGCACTTTTAGGCCTATGGTAAAAAGAAAATATCTTCACATAAAAACTAGACAGAAGGATTCTGACAACCTTCTTTGAGATATGTGCATTCATCTCACAGAGTTGAAACTTACTTTTGATTTAGCCGTTTTGAAGCCCCCTTTTGGTAAAATCTGTGATTGGACATTTGAAGTGCTTTGAAGCCTTTGGTGGAAAAGGAAATATCGTCACATAAGAACTAGACAGAAGCATTCTGACAAACTTCTTTGTGATGTGTGCATTCATCTCACAGAGTTGAACATTTATTTTGATTGAGCAGCTTGAAAACCTCTTTTACTGGAGTCTGCAAGTGGACATTTCTAGCGCTTTGAGGCCTATGGTAGAAAAGGAAATATCTTCACATAAAATCTAGACAGACACATTCTGACAAACATCTTTGTGATGTGTGCATTCACCTCACAGAGTTGAACGTTACTTTTGATTGAGCAGTTTTGAAAAACTCTCTTTGTAGAATCCGCAAGTGGACATTTGGAGCTCTTTGAGGCCTATGGTGGATAACGAAATATCTTCGTATAATAAAGAGAAAGAAGCATTCTGAGAAACTTCTTTGTGATGTGTGCACTCATCTCACAGAGTGGAACCTTACTTTTGATTTAGCAGTGTGGAAACTCTCTTTTTCTAGAATCTGCAAGTGGACATTTGGAGCACTTTGAGGCCTATGGTAGAAAAGGAAATATCTTCACATAAAATATAGACAGAAGCAATCTTGGAAATTTCTTTGTGATGTGTGCATTCATCCCACAGAGTTAAACCTTTCTTTAGATTGAGCAGTTTTGAAACTCTCTTGTATTATCTACAAGTGGACTTTTTGAGTGCTTTGTGACCTATGGTGAAAAGGAATTAACTTTTCATATATTCTACAAGAAGCAATCTGAGAAACTTCTTTGTGATGTGTGCATTCATCTCACAGAGTTAAACCTTTCTTTAGTTTGAGCAGTTTTGGAACAGTCTTTTTGTAGAATCTGCAAGTGGACACTTGTAGTGTTTTGAGGCCTATGGTAGAAAAGGAAGTATCTTCACATAAAAACTAGACAGAAGAATTCTGAGAAACTTCTTTGTGATGTGTGCATTCATCTCACAGAGTTGAACCTTTCTTTTGATTGAGCAGTTTGGAAACACTCTTTTTGCAGAATCTGAAAGTGGACATTTGGAGAGCTTTGCAGCCTTTGGTGGAAAAGGAATTATCTTCACATAAAATCTAGACAGAAGAAATCTGAGAAACTTCTTTGTGACGTGTGCATTCATCTCACAGAGTTAAGCATTTCTTTTGATTGAGCAGTTTTGAAACTCTCTTTTTGTAGAATCTGCAAGTGGACATTTGGAGCACTTGGGGTCTATGGCGGAGGAGGAAGTATCTTTACATAAAAACTAGACAGAAGAATTTTGTAAAATTTCTTTGTGAGGTGTGCATTCATCTCACAGAGCTGAAGCTTTCCTTTGATTATGCAGTTTGAAAGCACTCTTTTTGTAGAATCTGCAAGTGGACCTTGGAGTGATTTGAAGCCTGTGGTAGAACTGGAAATATCTGGACATAACATCGGGACAGAAGCCATCTGAGAAACTTCTTTGTGATGTGTGCTTTCATCTCACTGTGTTAAACCTTTCTTTTGGTTGAGCAGTTTTGAAAATCTCTTTTTGTAGAATCTGCAAGTCGGCATTTGGAGCTCTTTGAGGCCTATGGTGGAAAAGGAAATATCTTCACATAAAAACTAAGTAGAAGCATTCCAAGAAACTTCTTTGTGAAGAGTGCGTTCATCTCCCAGATTGAACCTTTCTTTCGATGGAGCAGTTTTGAAGTACTCTTTTGGTAGAATCTGCAACTGGACATTTCGAGTGCCTTGAGGACAATGGTGGAAAATGGAATATCTTCACATAAAAACATCGTCACATGAAAAACTCAGAAGAATTCTGAGACACTTCTTTGTGATGTGTGCGTTCATCTCACAGAGTTGAAACTTTCTTTTGATTGAGCAGTTTGCAAATACTCTTTTTGTAGTATCCGCAAATGGACATTTTGAGTGCTTTGCAGCCTATAGTAGAAAAGAAAATGTCATCACATAAAATCTAGACAGAAGCAATCTGAGAAACTTCTTTGTGATGCGTGCATTCATCTCACAGAGTTAATCATTTCTTATGATAGAGCAGTTTTGAAACTCTCTTTTTGTAGAATCTGCAAGTGAACATTTGGAGCGCTTTGAGGCCTATGGTGGAATAGGTAATATCTTCAGATAAAAACTAGACAGAAGTACTCTGTCAAACTTCTTGGTGATTTGTGTGTTCATCTCACAGATTTGAAGCCTTCTTTGAGCAGTTTTGAAGCCCTCTTTTTGTAGAATCTCTAAGTGGACATTTGGAGCTCTTTGCAGCCTTAGGTAGAAAAGGAAATATCTTCACATAAAATCCAGACAGAAACAATCTGAAAATCTTCTCTCTGATGTGTGCATTCATCTCACAGAGTTAACCCTTTCTTTTGATTGAGCAGTTTTGAAACTCTCTTTTTGTAGAATCTGCAAGTGGATATTTGGGGCGCTTTGAGGCCTATTGCAGAAAAGGAAATATCTTCACATAAATACTAGATAGAAGCATTCTGAGAAACTACTTTATGATGTGTCTATTCATCTCCCAGAGTTGAACATTTCTTTTGATGGACCAGTTTTGAAATACTCTTTTTGTAGAATCGGCAAGTGGACTTTTGGAGCACCTTGAGGCTTAAGGAGGAAAATGAAATATCTTCACATAAAAACTAGACAGAAGAATTCTGAGAAACTTCTTTGTTATGTGTGAGTTCATCTCACAGAGTTGAAACTTTCTTTTGATTCAGCAGTTTGGAACCACTCTTTTTGGAGAATCTGCACGTGGACATTTGGAGCTCTTTGCGGCCTATGGTAGAAAAGGAAATATTTTCACATAAAATCAAGCCTGAAGCAATCTGAGAAACTTCTTTGTGATGTTTGCATTCATCTCTCAGAGTTAAACCTTTTTTTTTGATAGACCAGTTTTGAAATACTCTTCTTATAGGATCTGCAAATGGACAATTCGAGTGCCTGGAGGCCTTTGGTGAAAAATGAATTATCTTTACATAAAAACTAGAGAGAAGAATTCTGAGAAACTTCTTTGTGATATAAGCGTTCCTCTCACAGAGTTAAACCTTTCTGTTGATTGAGCTGTTTAGAAACACTCTTGTTGTAGAATCTACAAGAGGACATTTGAGTGCTTTGCGGCCTATGGTAGAAAAGGAAATATCTTCACATAAAATCTAGACAGAAGCAACCTGAGAAACTTCTTTGTGATGTGGGAATTCATCTCACAGAGTTAAAACTTTCTTTTGATTGAGCAGTTTTGAAACTCTCTTTTTGTAGAATCTTCAAGTGAACATTTGGAACGCTTTGAGGCCTACGGTGGAAAAGGAAATATCTTCACATACAATCTTGACAGAAGCAATCTGAGAAACTACTTTGTGATGTGTGCATTCACCTCACAGAATTAACCCTATCTTTTGACTGAGTAGTTTTGAAACTCTCCTTTTGTAGAATCTGCAAGGGGACCTTAGGAGTGCTTTGAGGCCTATGGTGGAAAAGGAAATATATTAACATAAAAACTAGATTGAAGCATTCCAATAAAGTTCTTTGTGATGTGTGCATTCATCTCCCAGTGTTGAACCTTTCTTTTGATGGAAAAGTTTTGAAATACTCTTTTTGTAGAATCTGCAAGTAGACATTTGGAGTGCTTTGAAGCCTATGGTGGAAAGGGAAGTATCTTCACATAAAAACTAGACAAAAAAATTCTGGGAAACTACCTTGTGATGTGTGTGTTCATCTCACAGTTTTGAAACTTTCTTTTGATTGAGCAGTTTGGAAACACTCTTTTTGTGGAATCTGCAAGTGGACATTTGGAGCTCTTTGCAGAGTATAGCAGCAAAGGAAATAACTTCACATAAAATCTATGCAGAAGCAATATGAGAAATTCCTTTGTGATGTGTGCCTTCATCTTACAGAATTAACCATTATTTTGATTGAGCAGTTTTGAAACTCTCTTTTTGTAGAATCTGCAAGTGGACATTTGGAGCGTTTTGAGTCCTATGGTGGAAAAGGTAGTATCTTCACATAAAAACTAGATAGAAGAATTCTGAGAAATTTCTTTGTGACGTGTGTGTTCACCTCATACAGTTGAAACTTTCTTTTGATTGAGCAGTTTGGAAACACTCTTTTTAAAGAATCTGCAAGTGGACATTAGGAGCGCTTTATGGTCTATGGTAGAAAAGGAAATGTATTCACATAAAATCTAGACAGAAGCAATACGAGAAACTACTTTGTGATGTGTACATTCATGTCACAGAGTTAAACCTTTGTTTTGATAGAGTAGTTTTGAAACTCTCTTTTTGTAGATTCTGCTAGTGGACATTTGGAGCATTTTGAGGTCTATGGTGGAAAAGGAAATATCTTCACATGAAATCTAGACAGAAGCAATCTGAGAAACTTCTTTGTGATGTGTGCATTCATCTCACCGAGTTAATCCTTTCATTCGATTGAGCAGTTCTGAAACACTTTTTTTATAAAATCTGCAAGTGGATATTTGTAGTGCTTTCAGGCCTATGGTGGAAAAGCAAATATCTTCACATAAAAACTAGATAGAAGCATTCAGGGATACTTCTTTGTGATGTGTACATTCATCTCCAAGAGTTGAAACTTTCTTTTGAAGGACCAGTTTTGGAATACTGTTTTTGTAGAATCTGCAAGTGGACATTTCGAGTACCTTGAGGCCTAAGGTGGAAAAGGAAATATCTTCACATAAAAACTAGACAGAAGAATTCAGAGAAACTTCCTAGTGATGTGTGCATTCATTTCCCAGAGTTGAAACTTTGTTTTGATTGAACAGTTTGGAAATAGTCTTTTTCTACTATCTGCAAGTGTACATTTGGAGCACTTTGTGGCCTGAGGTAGAAATGGAAATATCTTCACATAAAATCTAGACAGAAGCAACCTGAAAAACTTCTTTGTGATTTTTGCATTCATCTCCAAAGTTAACCATTTCTTTAGATTGAGCACTTTTGAAACTCTCTTTTTGTGGAATATACAAGTGGACATTTGGAGCGCTTTGAGGACTATGGTGGAAAAGGCAATATATTCACATAAAAACTAGAAAGAAGCATTCTTAGAAACTACATTGTGACGTGTAAATTCGTCTCCCACAGTTGAAACTTTCTTTTGATGGACCATTTTTGAAATACTCTCTTTGTAGAATCTGCAAGTGGACATTTGGAGTGCCTTGAGGCCTATTGGGGAAAATGAAATATCTTCACATAAACACTAGACAGGAGAATTCTGAGAAACTTCTTTGTGGTGTGTGATTTCATCTCGCACAGTTGAACCTTTCTTTTGATTGAGCAGTTTGGAAGCACTCTTTTTGTAGAATCTGCAAGTGGACATTTGTAAACTTTGTGGCCTATGATAGAGAAGGAAATAACTTCACATAAAATCTAGACAGAGCAGTCTGAGAAAATTATTTGTGATGTGTGCATTCATCTCACAGAGTGAAACCCTTCTTTTGATTGAGCAGCTTTAAAACTCTCTTTTTGTAGGATCTGCAAGTGGACTTTTGGAGAGCATTGAGGCCTATGATGGAAAAGGAAATATCTTCACATAAAAAATACACAGAAGTATTCTGAGAAACTTCTTTGTGATGTGTGCTTTCACCTCACAGAGTTGAACATTTCTTTTGATTGAGCAGTTAAGAAACTCTCTTTTAGTTGAATCTGCAATTTGACTTTGGGAGTGCTGTGAGGCCTTAGGTGGAAAAGGAAATATCTTCACATAAAAACTAGACAGAAGAATTCTGAGAAACTTCTTTGTGATGTGTGCATTCATTTCACAGAGTTAAACCTTCTTTTGATTGAGCAGTTTTGAAACACTCTTATTGTAGAATCTGTGTGTGGCTATTTGGAGCGCTTTGCATCCTACGGTAGGAAAGGAAATATCTTCACATAAAATCTAGACAGAAGCAATCTGAGAAAATTCTTTGTGATGGGTGCATTCATCTCACAGAGTAAAAGCTTTCTTTTGATTGAGCAGTTTTAAAACTCTCTTTTTGTAGAATCTGCAAGTGGACATTTGGAGCGCTTTGAGGCCTATGGTGGAAAATGAAATATCTTCACACAAAAACTAGACAGAAAAATTCTGAGAAACTTCTTTGTGATGTGTGCATTTATCTCACAGAGTTAACCGTTTCTTTTGATTGAGAACTTTGGAAACTCTCTTTTTGCAGAACCTGCAAGTGGACATTTGGAGCGCTTTGAGGCTTATGGTGGAAAAGGAAATAGCTTCATGTAAAAACTAGATAGAAGCATTCTGAGAAACTTCTTTGTGATGTGTGCATTCACCTCCCAGAGTTGAGCCTTTCTCTTGATGGACCAGTTTTGAAATACTCTTTTTGTAGAATCTACAAGGGGACATTTCGATAGCCTTGGGGCCTCTGGTCCAAAAGGAAATATCTTCACATTAGAACTAGACAGAAGAATTCTGAGAAACTTCTTTGTGATGTGTGAGTTCATCTCACAGAGTTAACCTTTCTTTTGATTGAGCAGTTTGGAAACACTGTTTTTGTAGAATCTACAGGTGGACATTTGGAGCAGTTTGCAAAGTATGGTAGAAAAGGAAATATCATTACATAAAATCTAGGCAGAAGAAATCTTAGAAACTGCTTTGTGAAGTGTGTGTTCATCTCACAGATATAAACCTTTCTTTTGATTGAGCAGCTTTGAAACTCTCTTTTTGTAGAATTTGCAAGTGGAAATTTTGATCATTTTGAGACCTATCACGGAAAAAGAAATGTCTTCACATAAAAACTAGACAGAAGTATTTTGAGAAACTTCTTGGTGATGCGAGCATTCATCTCACAAATTTGAACCTTTCTTTTGATTGAGCAGTTTTGAAACATTCTTTTTGTAGAATCTGCAAGGGGACATTATAAGTGCTTTGGGTTCTATGGTAGAAAAGGAAATAACTTCACATAAAATCTAGACAGAAGCAATCTGAGAAACTTTTTGTGATATGTGCATTCATCTCACAGAGTTAAACCTTCCTTTTGATTGAGCAGTTTTGGAAGTCTCTTTTTGTAGAATCTGCAAGTGGACATTTGGAGAGCTTTTAGGCCTATGGAAGAAAAGGAAATATCTTCACATAAAAAGTAGACAGAAGAATTCTGAGAAAATTCTTTGTGATGCCAGCGTTCATCTGACAGAGTTGAACCTTTCTTTTGATTGAGCAGATGGGAAACACTCTTTTTGTAGAATCTGCAAGTGAACATGTGGAGCGCTTTGCGGCCTATGGTAGAAAAGGAATTATCTTCACATAAAATCTAGACAGAAGCAATCTGAGGAAGCTTTTCTTATTGTGTGCATTCATCTCACAGTGTTAAACATTTCTTTTGATTGAGCAGTTTTAAAACTCTCTTTTTATAAAATCTGCATGTGGACATTTGAAGCGCCTCGAGGCCCATGCTGCAAAGGAAAATATATTCACATAAAAACTAGATAGAAGCATTCTGAGCAACCTCTTGGTGATGTGTGCATTCATTTCCCAGAGTTGAACCTTTCTATTGATGGACCAGTTTTGTAATAATCTTTTTGTAGAACTTGCAATTGGTCATTTGGAGTGCCTTGAGGCCTATTGTGGAAAATGAAATATCTTCACAACAAAACTGCAAAGAAGTATTCTGAGCAACTTCTATGCGATGTGTGTGTTCATCCCACAGAGCTGAACCATTTTTTAGATTGAGAAGTTTGGAAACTGTCTTTTTGTAGAATCTGCAAGTGGACATTTGGAGCGCTTTGTCACCTACGGTAGAAAAAGGACTATCTTCACATAAAATCTAGACATAAGCAATCAGAGAAACTTCTTTGTGATTTGTGCATTCACCTCAGAGAGTTAAACCTTTCTTTTGATTGAGGAGTTTGGAAACTCTCTTTTTGTGGATCTACAAGTGGACATTTGGAGTGCTTTGGGGCCTATGGTAGAAAAGGAAATATCTTCACATAAAATCCAGACAGAAGCAACCTGAGAAGCTTGCTTGGATGTGTGCATTCATCTAAGAGAGTTAAACCTTTCTTTTGATTGAGGAGTTTTGAAACTCTCTCTTTGTAAAATCTGCAAGTGGCCATTTGGAGCACTTTGAGCCCTATGGTGAAAAACGAAATATCTTCACATAAAAACTAGACAGAAGAATTCTGAGAAACTTCTTTGTGATGTGTGCGATCATCTCACAGAATTGAAACTTTCTTTTGATTGAGCAGCTTGGAAACACTCTTTTTGTAGAATCTGCAAGTGGACTTTTGGAACGCTTTGTGGCCTATGTTAGAAAAGGAAATATCTTCACATAAAATCTAGACAGAAGCAATCTGAGAAACTCCTTTGTGATGTGTGCATTCATCTAACGGAGTTAAACCTTTCTTTTGGTTGAGCAGTTTTGAAAATCTCTTTTCATAGAATTTGCAAGTGGACATTTGGAGCACTTTGAGACCTGTGGTGGAAAAGGAAATATCTTCACATAAAAACTAGACAGAAGAATTCTGGGAAACTTCTTTGTGATGTGTGTGTTAATCTCACAGAGTTGAACCTTTCTTTTGATTGAGCAGTTTGGAAAAACTCTTTTTCTAGAATCTGCAAATGAACATTTGGTGCGCTTTGCAGCGAATGGTAAAAACGGAATATCTACACATCAAATTTAGAAAGAAGCAATCTGAGAAACTTCTTCGTGATGTGTGCATTCATCTCACAGAGTTAACCCTTTCTTTTGATTGAGAAGTTTTGAAACTCTCTTTTTGTAGAATCTGCAGGTGGACATTTGGAGCACTTTTAGGCCTATGGTAGAAGAGGAAATGTCTTCACATGAAAACTTGATAGAAGCATTCTGGCAAACTTCTTTGTGATATGTGCATTCATCTCCCAGAGCTGAAACATTCTTTCAAAGGACCAGTTTTGAAATACTCTTTTTATAGAATGTGCAAGTGGACATTTTGAGCGCCTTAAGGCCTATGTTTGAAAAGGAAATATCTTCACATAAAAACTACACAGAAGAATTCTGAGAAACTGCTTTGTGATGTGTGCATTCATCTCACAGAATTGAACCTTTCTTTTGATTCAGCAGTTTGGAAACACTCTTTATGTAGAATCGGCAAGTAGACATTTGGAGTGCTTTGTGGCCTATGATAGAAAAGGAAATATTTTCACATAAAATCTAGACCGAAACAATCTGAGAAACTTCTTTGTAATGTGTGCATTCATCTCACAGAGTTAAGCCTCTCTTTTGATTGAGCACTTTAGAAACTCTCTTTTTGCAGAATCTGCAGGTGGACATTTGGAGCACTCTGAATCCTATGTTGGAAAAGGAAATGCCATCACATAAAAACTAAACAGAAGAATCCTAAGAAACTTCTTTGTGATGTGTGAGTTCATTTCACAGAGTTGAGTCTTTCTTTGGATTGAGCAGTTTGGAAATACTCTTTTTGTAGAATCTACAGGTGGACAATTAGAGCACTTTGTGTCCCATAGTAGAAAAGTAAATAACTTCACATAAAATCTAGACAAAAGCAATGTGAGAAACTTACTTGTGATGTGTGCATTCATCTCAGAGTTAAACCTTTCTTTTGATTGATCAGTTTTGAAACTCTCTTTTTGTAGAATCTTCAAGTAAACAATTGGAGCGCTTTGAGGCCCATGGTGCAAAAGGAAATATCATCACATAAAAACTAGACAGAAGAATTCTGAGAAACTTCTTTGTGATGTGTGCGTTCTTCTCACAGAGTTGAACCTTTCTTTTGATTGAGCAGTTTGGAAACACTCTTTTTGTAGAATCTGCAAGTGCACATTTGGAGAGCTATGCGGTCTATGGTAGAAAAGGAAATATCTTCGCATAAAATCTAGACAGAAGTAGTCTGAGAATATTCTTTTTGATGTGTGCATTCTTCTCACGGAGTGAAACTTTTCCTTTGATTGAGCAGTTTCGAAACTCTCTTTTTGTAAAATCTGCAAGTGAACATTTGGAGTGCTTTGTGGCCTATGATAGAAAAGGAAATATTTTCACTTAAAATCTAGACAGAAGCAATCTGAGAAACTTCTTTGTGATGTTTGTATTCATCTTACATAGTTAAACCTTTCTTTTGATTGAGCAGTTTTGAAACTCTCTTTTTGTCAAATCTGTAAGAGGACATTTGGAGTGCTTTCAGGCCTATGGTGAAAAAGGAAGTATCTTCTCATGAAAACTAGACAGAAGAATTCAGACAAACTTCTTTGTGATGTGTGCATTTATCTCACAGACTTGAACCTTTCTTTTGATTGAGCAGTTTGAAACACTCTTTTTGTAGAATCTGCAAGTGGACATTTGGAGCACGTGGAGGCCTATAGTGGAAATGGAAATGTCTTCACACTAAAAACTAGACAGAAGAATTCTGAGAAACTTCTTTGTGATCTTTGCATTCATCTCACAGAGTTGAACCTTTCTTTTCATTTAGCAGTTTGAAAACACTCTTTTTGTAGAATCGGCAAGTGGACATTTGGAACGCATTGCAGTCTATGATGGAAAAGGAAATATCTCCACATAAAATCTAGACAGAAGCAATCTGAGAAACTTCTTTGTGATGGGTGCATTCATCTCACAGAGTTAAAACTTTCTTTTGATTGAGCAGTTTTGAAATTCTCTTTTTATAGAATCTGTAAGTGGACATTTGGAGCGTTTTGCAGCTTATGGTAGGAAAGGAAATATCTTCATATAATATCTAGACAGAAGCAATCTGAGAAACTTCTTTTGATTTGTGCATTCATCTCACAGATGTAAACCTTTGTTTTGATAGAGCAGTTTTGAAACTCTCTTTTTGTAGAATCTGTAAGTGGACATTTGGAGCGCTTTGAGCGATATGATGGAAAAGGTAATATCTTCACATAAAAACCAGGCAGAAGTATTCTGACAAATTTCTTTGTGATGTGTGCATTCACCTCACAGAGTTGAACCTTTCTCTTGATTGAACAGTTTGGAAACAATCTTTTTGTGGAATCTGCAAGTGTACATTTGTAGCGCTTTTCAGCCTATTAGTACAAAAGGAAATATCTTCACATAAAATCTAGAAAGAAGCAATCTGAGAAACTTCTTTGTGATGTGTGCATTCGCCTCATGGAGTTAAACCTTTCTTTTGATTGAGCAATTTTGAAACTCTATTTTTGTAGAATCTGCAAGTGGACATTTTGAGCACTTTCAGGCCTGTGGAGGAAAAGAAAATATCTTCACAGAAAGACTAGACAGAAGAATTCTGTGAAACTTCTGTGTGATGCATGTGTTCATCTCACAGAGTTGAAACTTTCTTTTGATTAAGCAGTTTGGAAACACTCTTTCTAGAATCTGCAAGTGGACATTTGCAGCGCTTTGCCGCATGTGGTAGAAAAGGGAATATCATCACAAAAAAATCTCGACAGAAGCAATATTAGAAACTTCTTTGTGATGTATGCATTCTTCTCACAGAGTTAACGCTTTCTTTTGATTGAACAATTTTGAAACTCTCTTTTTGTAGTATCTGCAATTGGACATTTGGGGCGCTTTGAGGCCTATTGTGGAGAAGGAGATATCTTCACATAAAAACTAGATAAAAGCATTCTGAGAAACTGCTTTGTGATGTGCACATTCATTTCCCACAGTTGAATATTTCCTTTGATTGACCAGTTTTGAAATACTGTTTTTGTAGAATCTGCAAGTGAACGTTTCCAGTTCCTTGAGGCCTGTTGTGGAAAACGAAATATCTTCACATAAACACTAGACATAAGAATTCTGAGAAACTACTTTGTGATGTGTGCGTTCATCTCACAGAGTTGAACCTTTTTGTTGATTGAGCAGTTTGGAAACACTCTTTTTGTAGAATCTGCAAGTGGACATTTGGAGTGCTTTGTGGCCTATGGTAGAAAAGGAAATATATTCACATAAAATCTAGACAGAAACAATCCGAGAAACTTCTTTGGATGTGTGCACTCATGTCACAGAGTTAAACATTTCTTTTGATTAAGCAGTTTTGAAAATCTCTTTGTAGAATCTGTAAGTGGACATTTGGAGGGCTTTGAGGCCAATGGTGGAATAGGAAATATCTTCCCATCAATAGTAGACAGAAGAATTCTGAGAAACTTTTTTGTGATGTGTGCCTTCATCTTAAGGAGTTCAACCTTTCTTTTTATTGAGCAGTTTGGAAACACTCTTTTTGCAGAATCTGAAAGTGGACATTTGGAGAGCTTTGCAGCCTTTGGTGGAAAAGGAAATATCTTCACATGAAATCTAGACAGAAGCAATCTGAGAAACTTATTTGTGATGTGTGAATTCATCTCACAGAGTTAAACATTTCTTTTGATTGTGCAGTTTTAAAACTCTCTTTTTGTAGTATCTGCAAGTGGACATTTGGAGAGCTTTGAGGCCTAAGGTGGAAAAGGAAATATCTTCACATAAAAACTTGACAGAAGAATTCTGAGAACCTTCTTTGTGATGTGTGTATTCATCTCACAGAGTTGAATATTTCTTTTGATTGGGCAGTTTGGAAACAATCTTTTTGTAGAATCTGCATGTGGACATTTGGAGCGATTTGAGGCCTATGGTAGAAAAGGAAATATCTTCACATAAAATCTAGACAGAAGCAATCTGAGAAACTTCTTTGTGATATGTGCATTCATTTCACACAGTTAAACCTTTCTTTTGATTGAGCAGTTTTGAAACTCTATTTTTGTAGAATCTGCAAGTGTACCTTTTGAGCCGTTTGAGGCCTGTGGAGGAAAAGGAAATATCTTCACAGAAAAACTAGACAGAATAATTCTGAGAAACTTCTTTGTGATGCATGCAGTCATCTCACAGACTTGAACTTTTCTTTTGATTAAGCAGTTTGGAAACACTCTTTCTAGAATCTGCAAGTGGACATTTGGAGCGCTTTGCGACCTGTGGTAGAAAAGGAAATATCTTCACAAAAAATCTCAACAGAAGTCGTCTGAGAAACACTCTTGTGATGTGTGCATTCATCTCACAGAGTTAATCCTTTCTTTTGACTGAGCATTTTTGAAATTCTCTTTTTGTAATATCTGCAAGTAGACATTTGGAGTACTTTGAGGCCTATTGTGGAAAAGGAAATATCTTCACAGAAAAACTAGATAGAAGCATTCTGAGAAACTGCTTTGTGATGTTTACATTCATTTCCCTGAGTTGAACCTTTCTTTTGATGGACCAGTTTTGAAATACTCTTTTGGTAGAATCTGCAAGTGGACATTTCCAGTGCCTGAGGCCTATGGTGGAAAATGAAATATCTTCACATAAAAATTAGACATAAGATTTCTGAGAAACTACTTTGTGATGTGTGCGTTCATCTCACAGAGTTGGATCTTTCTTTGATTGAGCTGCTTGGAAACACTCTTTTTGTAGAATCTGCAAGTGGACATTTGGAGTGTTTGTGGCCTATGCTAGAAAAGGAAATATATTCACATAAAATCTATGGATGAATGCACACATCACAAAGAAGATTCTCAGATTGCTTTTGTCTAGATTTTATGTGAAGATATTTCCTTTTCTACCATAGGCCGCAAGGCGCTCCAAATATCCAAAAGTAGATTCTATAAAAAGAGTGTTTCCAAACTGCTCAATCAAAGAAAAGACTCAATTCTGTGAAATGAATGCACACATCACAAAGAAGTTTCTCAGAATTCTTCTGCCTATTTTTTATGTGAAGATATTTCCTTTTCCACCATGTGCCCCAAAGCGCTCCAAATGTTCACTTGCAGATTCGACAAAAAGAGAGTTTCGAAACTCCTCAATCAAAAGAAATGTTTAACTCCTTGAGTTGAAGGAACACATCACAAAGGTGTTTCTCAGATTGCTTCTGTATAGATTTTACGTGAAGATATTACCTTTTCTGCCATATGCAGCAAAGTACTCAAATGTCCGCTAGCAGAATCTATAAGAATCTATAAGAAGAGTGTTTCCAAACTGCTGTATCAAAAGATTCAACTCGGTGAGATGAACTTACACATAACAAGGAAGTTTCTCAGAATTTTTCTGTCTAGTTTTTATGTGAAAATATTTCCTTTTCCACCATAGTCCTCAAAGCTCTTCAAATGTTCACTTGCATATTCTACAAAAAGAGAGTCTAAAAATTTCTCAATCAAAACAAGTATTTAACACTGTGAGATGAATGCCCACATCACAAAGATGTTTCTCAGATTGCTTCTGTCTAGATTTTATGTGAAGATACTTCCTTTTCTAACATGGGCCACAAGGTGCTCCAAATGTCCACTTGCAGATTCTACAAAAAGAGTGTTTCCAAACTGCTCAATCAAAAGAAAGGTTCAACTCTGTGAGGTAATGCACACATCACAAAGAAGTTTCTCAGAATTCTTCTGTCTAGTATTTATGTGAAGATATTTCCTTTTCCACAATAGGCCTCAAAGCGCTGTAAATGTCCACTTGCAGATTCCACAAAAAGAGAGTTTCAAAACTATTCAAACAAAAGAAAGGTTTACCTCTGTGTTATGAATGCACACATCACAAAGAACTTTCTCAGATTGCTTCTGTCTAGATTTTATGTGAAGATACTTCCCTTTCTAACATGGCTGCAAGGTGCTCAAAATGTCCACTTGCATATTCTACAAAAAGACTGTTTCCAAACTGCTCAATCAAAAGAAAGGTTCAACTCTGTGAGGTAATGCACACATCACAAAGAGGTTTCTCAGAATTCTTCTGTCTAGTATTTATGTGAAGATATTTCCTTTTCCACAGTAGATCTCAAAGCTCTGTAAATGTCCACTTGCAGATTCTACAAAAAGAGAGTTTCAAATCAAACTCTGTACAATCAAAAAGTTGTTCAATCAAAAGAAAAAAAGTTGTTCAATCAAAAGAAAGGTTTACCTCTGTGTTATGAATGCACACATCACAAAGAACTTTCCCAGATTGCTTCGGTCTAGATTTTATGTGAGGATATTTCCTTTTCTAACACGGGCCACAAGGTGCTCCAAATATCTACGTGCAGAGTCTACAAAAAGAGTGTTTCCAAACTGCTCAATCAAAAGAAAGGTTCTACTCTGTGAGGTAATGCACACATCGCAAAAAGTTTCTCAGAATTCTTCTGTCTAGTATTTATGTGAAGATATTCCCTTTTCCACAATAGGCCTCAAAGTGCTCTAAATGTCCACTTCCAGATTCTACAAAAGGAGAGTTTCAAAACTGCTTAGTCAAAAGAAGGGTTTAACTCTATGAGATGAATGCACACATCACAAGGAAGTTTCTCAGATTGCTTTTGTCTAGATTTTATGTGAAGATATTTCCTTTTCTACCATAGGTCACAAAGCGCTCCAAATGTCCAAAAGTAGATTCTATAAAAAGAGTGTTTCCAAACTGCTCAAACAAAGATTCAACTCTGTCAATTGAATGCACACATCACAAAGATGTTTCTCAGAATTCTTCTGCCTAGTGTTTATGTGAAGATATTTCCTTTTCCACCATGGGCCCCAAAGCGTTCCAAATGTCCACTTGCAGATTCTACAAAAAGAGTGTTTCCAAATTGCTGAATCAAAAGAAAGTTTCAACTCTGTGAGATGAACGCACACATCACAAAGAAGTTTCTCAGAATTCTTCTATCTTGTTTTCATGTAAAGGTATTTCTTTTCAGACCATAGGCCTCAAAGTGCTCCAAATGTCCACTTGCAGATTCTGCAAAAAGAGATTTTCAAAACTGCTCAATCTAAAGTAAGGTTTAACTCTGTGAGATGAATGTTCTCATCACAAAGAAGTTTCTCAGATTGTTTCTGTCTAGATTTTATGTGAAGATATTTCCTTTTCTACCATAGGCTGCAAAGCGCTCCAAATCTCCACTTGCAGATCCTACAAAATGAGTGTTTTCAAACTGCTCAATCAAAAGAAATGTTCAACTCTGTGAGATGAACACACACATCACAAAGAAGTTTCTCAGAATTCTTCTGTCTAGTGTTTATGTGTAGAAATTTCATTTTCCACCATAGGCGTCAAGGCACTCGAAAAGTCCACATGCAGATTCTACAAAAAAGTATTTCCAAACAGGTCCATCAAAAGAAAGTTTCAACTCTGGGAGATGAATGCACACATCACTAAGAAGGTCTCAGAATGATTCTATGTAGTTTTTATGTGAAGACATTTCCTTTTCAACCATAGGTCTCTAAGCTCTTCAAATTTCCCTTGCAGATTCTCCAAAAATAGTGTTTCACAACTGCTCAATCAAAAGAAAAGTTCAACGCTGTGAGATGAACGCACCCATCACAAAGTAGTTTCTCAGAATTCTTCTGTCTAGTTTTTATGTGAAGATATTTTCTTTTCCACCATAGGCGTCAAAGCGCTCCAGATGTTGAATTGCAGATCCTACAAAAAGAGAGTTTAAAAACTGCTCAATCAAAAGAAATGTTTAACTCTCTGAGATGCATGCACACATTACAATATAGTTTCTCAGGTTGCTTCTGTCTAGATTTCATGTGAAGATATTTCCTTTTTCTACCATAGGCTGCATGCAAATCGCTTCAATTGTCCACTTGCAGATTCTAAAAATAGAGTGTTTACAAACTGCTTAATCAAAAGAAAGGTACAACTACGTGAGATGAACCCCCACATCACAAAGAAGTTTCTCAGAATTCTTCTGTCTAGATTTATGTGAAGATATTAACTTTCCACCATAGGCATCAAAGTGCTCCAAAAGTTCACTTGCAGATTCTACAAAAAGAGTGTTTCAAAACTGCTCAATCAAAAGAAAAGTTTACCTCTGTGATATGAATGCCTACATCACCAAGAAGTTTCTCAGACTGCTTCTGTTTAGATTTTATATGAAGATATTTCCTTTTCTACCATAGGCCACAAAGTGCTCCCAATGTCCACCTGCAGATCCTACATAAAGAGTGTTTCCAAACTGCACCACCAAAAGAAAGGTTCAACTCTGTGAGATGAACGCATACATCACAAAGAAGTTTCTCTGAATTCTTCTGTCTAGTTTTTATGTGAAGATATTCCCTTTTCTACCATAGGCCTCAAGGTTCTCGAAATATCCACTTGCAGATTCTACAAAAAGAGTGTTTCAAAACTGCTCAATGAAAAGAAAGGTTCAATCCTGTGAGATGAATGCACACATCGCAAAGAAGTTTTTCAGAATTCTTCTGTCTAGTTTTTATGTGAAGATATTTCCTTTTCCACCTTAGTCCTCAAAGCCCTCCAAATGTCCACTTGCAGATTCTACAAAAAGAGAGTTGCAAAACTGCTCAATCAAAAGAAAGATTTACCTCTGTGAGATTAATGCACACAACACAAAGAAGTTTCTCAGAAATCTTCTGTCTAGTTTTTATGTGAAGATATTTCCTTTTCTACCGCAGGCTGCAAAGTGCTCCAAATGTCCACTTGTAGATTCTACAAAAAGAGTGTTTCCAAACTACTCAATCAAAAGAAAGGTCCAACTCTGTGAGATAAATGCACACATCAGAAAGTATTGTCTCAGAACTCTTCTTTCTAGTTTTTATGTAAAGATATTTCCTTTTCCACCATAGGCCTCAAAGCACTCCAAACGTCCACTTGCAGATTCTGCAAAAAGAGTTTCAAAACTGCTTAAACAAAAGAATGGTTAAACTCTGTGAGGTGAGTGCACATATCACAAAGAGGTTTCTCAGATTACTTCTGTCTAGATTTTATGTGAAGATATTTCCTTTTCTACCACAGGCCGCAAAGCGTTCCAAATGTGCACTTGCAGATTCTACAAAAAGAATGTTTCCAAGTTGCTCAACAAAAGAAAGCTTCAACTCTGTGAGATGAACGCCCACATCATGAAGAAGTTTCTAAGAATTCTTCTGTCTAGTTTTTATGTGGAGATATTTCCTTTCCCACTATAGGCCTCAAATCGTTCAAAATGTCCACTTGCAGATTCTACAAACAGAGAGTTTCAAAACACCTCAATCAAAAGAAAGGTTTAACTCTCTGAGATGAATGCACACATCAGAAAGAAGTTTCTCAGATTTGTTCTGTCTAGATTTTATGTGAAGATATTTCCTTTTCTGCCATAGGCTGCAAATCGCTCCAAGTGTCTACATGCAGTTTTGAAAAAAAGAGTGTTTCCAAAATGCTCCCTCAAAAGACACGTTCAACTCTGAGATGAACGCACACATCACAAAGAAGTTTCTCAGAATTCTTCTCTCTAGTTTTCATGTGAAGATGTTTCCTTTTCCACAATAGATCTCAAAACGCTCCAAATGTCCACATGCAGATTCTATAAAAAGACAGTTTCAAAACTAATCTATCAAAAGAAAAGGTTTAACTCTGTCAGATGAATGCACACATCACAAAGAAGATTTTCAGATTGCTTCTGTCTAGATTTTATGTGAAGATATTTCCTTTTCTACCATAGGCTTCAAAGTGCTCCTAATGTCCACTTGCAGATCCTACAAAAAGAGTGTTTCCAAACTGCTCAATCAAAAGAAAGATTCAACTCTGTGAGATGAATGCACACATCACAAAGAAATTGCTCAGATTGCTTCTGTCTAGATTTTATGTGAAGATATTTCCTTTTCTACAATAGGCCACAAAGCGCACAAAATGTCCACTTGTGGATTCTCAAAAAAGTTTGTTTCCAAACTGCTCAGTCAAAAGAAAGGCTTACCTCTATGAGATGAATGCAGACATCACAAAGATATTTATCTGTATACATCTGCTTAGTTTTTATGTGAGGATATTTCCTTTTCCACCATAGGCCACAAAGCCCTCCAAATATCCACTTTCAGATTCTACAAAAAGAGAATTTCAAAACTCCACAATCAAAAGAAAGGTTTAGCTCTTTGAGGTGAATGCACACATCACAAAGAAGATTTTCAGGTTGCTTCTGTCAGATTTTATGTGAAGATATTAAATTTTCTGCCATTGGCTGCAAAGTGCTCCAAATATTCACTTACAAATTATACAAAAAGAGTGTTTCCATACTGCTAAATCAAAAGAAAGGTTCAACTCTGTGAGACGAATGCACACATCACCAAGAAGTTTCTCAGAATTCTTCTGTCTAGTTTTTATGTGAAGATATTTCATTTTCCACCACAGGCCTCAAGGCGCTTGAAATGTCCACTTGCAGATTCTAAACAAAGAGTGTTTCAAAACTGGTCCATCAATGGAAAGGTTCGACTCTGGGAGATGATTGTGCATATCACAAAAACTTTCTCAGAATGCTTCTATCTAGTTTTTATGTGAAGATATTTCCTTTTCCACTATTGGCGTCAAAGCGTCCCAAATGTCATCTTGCAGATTCAACAAAAGAGAGTTTCAGAACTGCTCAGACAAAAGAGAGAGTTACCTCTGTGAGATGAATGCACACATTACAAAGAAGTTCCTCAGATTGCTTCTGTCTAGATTTTATGTGAAGATATTTCCTTTTCTAACGTCGGCCGCAAAGTGCTACAAATGTCCTCTTGCAGATCCTTCAAAAAGAGAGTTCAAGACTTTTCAATCAAAGGAAAGGTTTAACTCTGTGAGATGAATGCACACATCACAAATAAGTTTCTCAGATTGCTTCTTTCTAGATTTTATGTAAAGATATTTCCTTTTCTACTTTAGGCCGCAAAGCGTTCCAAATATCCACTTGCAGATTGTACAAAATAGTGTTTCCAAACTGCTCAATCAAAAGAAAGGTTCAACTCTGTGAGATGAAGCCACAAATCACAAAGAAGTTTCTCAGAATTCTTCTGTCTAGTTTTTATGTGAAGATATTTCCTTTTCCACCATAGGCCTTTAAGTGCTCCAAATGCTCACTTGCAGATTCTACAAAAGAGAGTTTCAAAATTGCTCTATCAAAAGAAATTTTTAACTCTGTGAGATGAATGCACACATTACAAAGAAGTTTCACAGATTGCTTCTGTATAGATTTTATGTGAGGATATTTCTTTTTCTACCATATGCTAAAAAGTACTCCAAATGTCCACTTGCAGATTCAACAAAAAGAGTGTTTCCACACTGTTCAATCAAAAAAAAGTTTCAACTCAGTGAGATGAATGCACACATCACAAAGAAGTTTCTCAGAATTCTCCTGTGTAGTTTTTAAGTGAAGATAATTTATTTTCCACAAAAGGCCATAGGGCACTCCCATTTTCCACTTGCAGATACTACAAAAAGAGAGTTCCAAATCTGCTCCATCAAGAAAAGATCAACTCTGTGAGATGAACGCACACATCACAAAGAAGTTTCTCAGATTGCTTCTGTCTAGATTTTATGTGAAGATATTTCCTTTTCCACCAAAGACCACAAAGCGCTCCAAATGTCCACTTGCAGATTCTGCAAAAAGAGTGTTTCAAAACTGCTCTATCAAAAGAAAGATTTCACTCTGTGAGATGAATGCACACATCACAAAGAAGTTTCTCAGATTGCTTGTGTCTAGATTTTATGTGAAGATATTTCCTTTTCTACCATAGGCCACAAGGCGCTCCAAATGTCCACTTGCACATTCTACAAAAAGAGTGTTTCCAAACTGCTCAATCAAAAGAAAGGTTCAACTCTTTGAGATGAACGCACACATCACAAACAGATTTCTCAGATAGTTTCTGTATAGATTTTATGTGAGAGTATTTCATTTTCTAACATAGGCCACAAAAAGCTCCAAATATCCACTTGCGGATTCTACAAAAAGAGAGTTTCAAAACTGCTCTATCAAAAGATAGGTTAAAATCTGTGACTTGAATGCACATCTAACAATGAAGTTTCCCAGAAAGCTTCTGTGTAGTTTTTATCTGAAGATATTTCCTTTTCCAAAATAGACCACAAAGCTTTTCAAATATCCACTTTCAGATTCTACAAAAAGAGTGTTTCCAAATTACTCAGTCAATAGAAAGATTCAACCCTTTGGGATGAATGCACTCATCACAAAAACGTTTCCCGGAATGATTCTGTGTTGTTTTTATTTGAAGATATTTTCTTTTCCACTGTAGGCCACAAAGGGCTCCAAATATCCACCTGCAGATGCTACAAAAAGAGAGATTCAAAACTGCTCAATCAAAAGATAGGTTCAACTCTGTGAGTTGAATGCACACATCACAAAGTGTTTTCTCAGAATGCCTCTGTGTAGTTTTTATGTGAAGATATTTCCTTTTCCACAATAGGCTTCAAATCGCTCCAAATATCCAATTGCAGATTCTGCAAAAAGAGAGATTCTAAACTGCTCAATCAAAAGATAGGTTCAACTCTGTGAGTTGAATGCACACATCACAAGGAAGTTTCTCAGAATGCCTCTGTGTAGTTTTTATGTGAAGATATTTCCTTTTCCACTATAGGCCTCAAAGCACTCCAAATATCCACTTGCTGGTTCTGCAAAAAGAGAGATTCAAAACTGCCCAATCAAAAGATCGGTTTGACTCTGTGAGTTGAATGCACACCTCACAAAAAAGTTTCTCAGAATGCTTCTGTGTAGTTTTATTTGAAGATATTTGCTTTTCCACAGTAGGTCTCAGAACGCTACAAATATCGACCTGCAGATTCTGCAAAAAGAGAGATTCAAAACTGCCCAATCAAAAGATAGGTTCAACTCTGTGTGTTGAATGCACACATAACACAGTAGTTTCTCAGAATAATTATGTGTAGTTTTTATGTTAAGATATATCCTTTTCCAAAATAGGCCTCAAAGCCCTCCAAATAGCTACTTCGAGATTCTACAAAAAGAGTGTTTCAAAACTGCTCAATCAAAAGAAACTTTGAACTCTTTGTGATGAATGCACTCATCACAAAGGAGTTCCTCTGAATGCTGCTGTGCAGTTTTTATTTGAAGATATTTCCTTTTCCCCCATGGGATGCAAGGGCTCCAAATATCCACTTTCAGATTCTACAAAAAGAGAGATTCAAAACTGCTCAATCATAAGATAGGTTCAAACTTGTGAGCTGAATGTATACATCATAAAGTAGTTTCCCAGAATTCTTCTGTGTAGTATTTATTTGAAGATATTTCCTTTTCCACAATAGGCCACAAAGCACTCCAAATATCCACTTGCAGATTCTGCAGAAAGATTGAAAACTGCTCAATCAAAAGAAAGATTCGAGTCTGTGGGTTGAATGCACACCTCACAAAAAAGTTTCTCAGAATGCTTCTGTGTAGTTTTTATTTGAAGATATTTGCTTTTCCACAGTAGGCCTCAAAGTGCTACAAATATCCACTTGCAGATTCTGCAAAAAGAGAGATTGAAAACTGCTCAATCAAAAGATAGGCTCAACTCTGTGTGTTGAATGCACACATAACAAAGGAGTTTCTCAGAATAATTCTGTGCAGTTTTTATGTTAAGATATATCCTTTCCCAAAATAGGCCTTAAAGCCCTCCAAATAGTTACTTTGAGTTTCTACAAAAAGAGTGTATCAAAACTGCTCAGTCAAAAGAAACTTTAAACTCTTTGTGATCAATGCAGTCATCACAAAGGTGTTTCTCTGAATGCTTCTGTGTAGTTTGTATTTGAAGATGTTTCCTTTTCAACCATAGGGTGCAAAGGGCTCCAAATATCCACTTGCATATTCTACAAAAAGAGAGATTGAAAACTGCTCAATCATAAGATAGGTTCAAACGTGTCACCTGAATGCACACATCACAAAGAAGTTTCCCAGAATTCTTCCGTGTAGTTTTTATTTGAAGATATTTCCTTTTCCACAATAGGGCACAAAGGTCTCCAAATATTCACTAGCAGATTCTACAAAAGAGAGATTCCAAACGGCTCAATCAAAAGATAGATTCAACTCTGTGAGTTGAATGCACAAATAAAAAAGAAGTTTCTCAGAATGTCTATGTGTAATTTTTATGTGAAGATATTTTCTTTTCCAAAATTGGCCTCAAAGCCCTCCAAATATCCACTTCCAGATTCTACGAAAAGAGCGTTTCAAAACTGCTCAATCAAAGGAAACGTTCAACTCTGTGTGATGAATGCACTCAACACAAAGAAGTTTCTCAGAATGCTTATGTGTAGTTTTTATTTGAAGATATTTCCTTTTCCAACACAGGGTGCAAAGAGCTCCAAATATCCACTTGCAGATTCTAGAAAAAGAGAGATTCAAAAGTGCTCAATGAAGAGAAAAGTTCAAATCCGTGAGTTGAATGCACACCTCACAAAGAAGTTTCTCAGAATGCTTCTGTGTAGTTTTTATGTGAAGATATTTCCTTTTCCAAAATAGGACTCAAAGCTCTCCAAATATCCACTTGTAGATTCTACAAATATAGTGTTTCAAAACTGCTCAATCAAAAGAAAGGTTCATCTCTGTGAAATGAATGCACACATCAAAAAGAAGTTTCTCAGAATGCTTCTGTGTAGTTTTTATGTGAACATATTTCCTTTTCCACGGTAGGCCCCAATGTGCTCCAAATATACACTTGCATATTCTACAAAAACAGCGGTTCTAAACTGCTCAATCATAAGACAGGTACAACCCAGTGAGGTGAATGCACACATCACGAAGAAGTGTCTCAGAAAGCTTCTGTGTAGTGTTTATGTGAAGATATTTCCTTTTCCACAACTGTCCTCAAAGTCCTAAAATATGCACTTGCAGATTCTGCAAAAAGAGTGTCTCAAAACTGTTCAGTCAAAGGAAAGGTTCAAATCTGTGTGATGAATGCACTCACAACAAAGAAGTTTTTCTGAATGCTTCTGTGTAGTATTTATTTGTTGATATTTCCTTTTCTACAATAGGCCTCAAACCGCTCCAAACATTTACTTGCAGATTCCACAAAAAGAGTGTTTCAAAACTGCTCAATCATAAGTTAGGTTCAAACCTGTGATATGAATGCACACATCACAAAGAAGTTTCTCAGAATGTTTCAGTGCAGTTTTTTTTATTATTATTATACTTTAAGTTTTAGGGTACATGTGCACATTGTGCAGGTTAGTTACATATGTATACATGTGCCATGCTGGTGCGCTGCACCCACTAACTCGTCATCTAACATTAGGTATATCTCCCAATGCTATCCCTCCCCCCTCCCCCAACCCCACCACAGTCCCCAGAGTGTGATATTCCCCTTCTTGTGTCCATGTGATCTCATTGTTCAATTCCCACCTATGAGTGAGAATATGCGGTGTTTAGTTTTTTGTTCTTGCGATAGTTTACTGAGAATGATGATGTCCAATTTCATCCATGTCCCTACAAAGGACATGAACTCATCATTTTTTATGCCTGTATAGTATTCCATGGTGTATATGTGCCACATTTTCTTAATCCAGTCTATCATTGTTGGACATTTCGGTTGGTTCCAAGTCTTTGCTATTGTGAATAGTGCCGCAATAAACATACATGTGCATGTGTCTTTATAGCAGCATGATTTATATTCCTTTGGGTATATACCCAGTAATGGGATGGCTGGGTCAAATGCTATTTCTAGTTCTAGATCCCTGAGGAATCGCCACACTGACTTCCACAATGGTTGAACTAGTTGACAGTCCCACCAACAGTGTAAAAGTGTTCCTATTTCTCCACATCCTCTCCAGAACCTGTTGTTTCCTTACTTTTTAATGATTGCCATTCTAACTGGTGTGAGATAGTATCTCATTGTGGTTTTGATTTGCATTTCTCTGATGGCTAGTGATGATGAGCATTTTTTCATGTGTTTTTTGGCTGCATAAATGTCTTCTTTTGAGAAGTGTCTGTTCATGTCCTTTGCCCACTTTTTGATGGGGTTGTTTGTTTTTTTCTTGTAAATTTGTTTGAGTTCATTGTAGATTCTGGATATTAGCCCTTTGTCAGATGAGTAGGTTGTGAAAATTTTCTCCCATTTTGTAGGTTGTCTGTTCACTCTGATGGTAGTTTCTTTTGCTGTGCAGAAGCTCTTTAGTTTAATTAGATCCCATTTGTCAATTTTGGCTTTTGTTGCCATTGCTTTTGGTGTTTTGGACATGAAGTCCTTGCCCATGCCTATGTCCTGAATGTTAATGCCTAGGTTTTCTTCTAGGGTTTTTATGGTTTTAGGTCTAATGTTTAAATCTTTAATCCATCTTGAATTGATTTTTGTATAAGGTGTAAGGAAGGGATCCAGTTTCAGCTTTCTACATATGGCTAGCCAGTTTTCCCAGCACCATTTATTAAATAGGGAATCCTTTCCCCATTGCTTGTTTTTCTCAGGTTTGTCAAAGATCAGATAGTTGTAGGTATGCGGTGTTATTTCTGAGGGCTCTGTTCTGTTCCATTGACCTATATCTCTGTTTTGGTACCAGTACCATGCTGTTTTGGTTACTGTAGCCTTGTAGTATAGTCTGAACTCAGGTAGTGTGATGCCTCCAGCTTTGTTCTTTTGGCTTAGGATTGACTTGGCGATGCGGGCTCTTTTTTGGTTCCATATGAACTTTAAAGTAGTTTTTTCCAATTCTGTGAAGAAAGTCATTGGTAGCTTGATAGGGATGCCATTGAATCTGTAAATTACCTTGGGCAGTATGGCCATTTTCATGATATTGATTCTTCCTAGCCATGAGCATGGAATGTTCTTCCATTTGTTTGTATCCTCTTTTATTTCATTGAGCAGTGGTTTGTAGTTCTCCTTGAAGAGGTCCTTCACATCCCTTGTAAGTTGGATTCCTAGGTATTTTATTGTCTTTGAAGCAATTGTGAATGGGAGTTCACTCATGATTTGGCTCTCTGTTTGTCTGTTGTTGGTGTATAAGAATGCTTGTGATTTTTGCACGTTGATTTTGTATCCTGAGACTTTGCTGAAGTTGATTATCAGCTTAAGGAGATTTTGGGCTGAGACAGTGGAGTTTTCTAGATATACAATCATGTCATCTGCAAACAGGGACAATTTGACTTCCTCTTTTCCTAATTGAATACCCTTTATTTCCTTCTCCTGCCTATTTGCCCTGGCCAGAACTTCCAACACTATGTTGAATAGGAGCGGTGAGAGAGGGCATCCCTGTCTTGTGCCAGTTTTCAAAGGGAATGCTTCCAGTTTTTGCTCATTCAGTATGATATTGGCTGTGGGTTTGTCATAGATAGCTCTTATTATTTTGAAATACGTCCCATCAATACCTAATTTATTGAGAGTTTTTAGCATGAAGGGTTGTTGAATTTTGTCAAAGGCTTTTTCTGCATCTATCGAGATAATCATGTGGTTTTTGTCTTTGGCTCTGTTTATATGCTGGATTACATTTATTGATTTGCTTATATTGAACCAGCCTTGCACCCCAGGGATGAAGCCCACTTGATCATGGTGGATAAGCTTTTTGATGTGCTGCTGGATTCGGTTTGCCAGTATTTTATTGAGGATTTTTGCATCAATGTTCATCAAGGATATTGGTCTAAAATTCTCTTTTTTGGTTGTGTCTCTGCCTGGCTTTGGTATTAGAATGATGCTGGCCTCATTAAATGAGTTAGGGAGGATTCCCTCTTTTTCTATTGATTAGAATAGTTTCAGAAGGAATGGTACCAGTTCCTCCTTGTACCTCTGGTAGAATTCGGCTGTGAATCCATCTGGTCCCGGATTCTTTTTGGGTGGTAAACTATTGATTATTGCCACAATTTCAGCTCCTGTTATTGGTCTATTCAGAGATTCAACTTATTCCTGGTTTAGTCTTGGGAGAGTGTATGTGTTGAGGAATGTATCCATTTCTTCTAGATTTTCTAGTTTATTTGCGTAGAGGTGTTTGTAGTATTCTCTGATGGTAGTTTGTATTTCTGTGGGATGGGTGGTGATATCCCCTTTATCATTTTTTATTTTGTCTATTTGATTCGTCTCTCTTTTTTTCTTTATTAGTCTTGCTAGCGGTCTATCAATTTTGTTGATCCTTTCAAAAAACCAGCTCCTGGATTCATTGATTTTTTGAAGGGTTTTTTGTGTCTCTATTTCCTTCAGTTCTGCTCTGATTTTAGTTATTTCTTGCCTTCTGCTAGCTTTTGAATGTGTTTGCTCTTGCTTCTCTAGTTCTTTTAATTGTGATGTTAGGGTGTCAACTTTGGATCTTTCCTGCTTTCTCTTGTGGGCATTTAGTGCTATAAATTTCCCTCTACACAGTGCTTTGAAGCGTCCCAGAGATTCTGGTATGTTGTGTCTTTGTTCTCATTGGTTTCAAAGAACATCTTTATTTCTGCCTTCATTTCGTTATGTACCCAGTAGTCATTCAGGAGCAGGTTGTTCAGTTTCCATGTAGTTGAGTGGCTTTGAGTGAGATTCTTAATCCTGAGTTCTAGTTTGATTGCACTGTGGTCTGAGAGATAGTTTGTTATAATTTCTGTTCTTTTATATTTGCTGAGGAGAGCTTTACTTCCAAGTATGTGGTCAATTTTGGAATAGGTGTGGTGTGGTGCTGAAAAAAATGTATATTCTGTTGATTTGGGGTGGAGAGTTCTGTAGATGTCTATTAGGTCTACTTGGTTCAGAGCTGAGTTCAATTCCTGGGTATCCTTGTTGACTTTCTGTCTCCTTGATCTGTCTAATGTTGACAGTGGGGTGTTAAAGTCTCCCATTATTAATGTGTGGGAGTCTAAGTCTCTTTGTAGGTCACTCAGGACTTGCTTTATGAATCTGGGTCCTCCTGTATTGGGTGCATATATATTTAGGATAGTTAGCTCTTCTTGTTGAATTTATCCCTTTACCATTATGTAATGGCCTTCTTTGTCTCTTTTGATCTTTCTTGGTTTAAAGTCTGTTTTATCAGAGACTAGGATTGCAATCCCTGCCTTTTTTTGTTTTCCATTTGCTTAGTAGATCTTCCTCCATTCTTTTATTTTGAGCCTATGTGTGTCTCTGCACGTGAGATGGGTTTCCTGAATAGAGCACACTGATGGGTCTTGACTCTTTATCCAATTTGCCAGTCTGTGTCTTTTAATTGGAGCATTTAGTCCATTTACATTTAAAGTTAATATTGTTATGTGTGAATTTGATCCTGTCCTTATGATGTTAGCTGGGGATTTTGCTCGTTAGTTGATGCAGTTTCTTCCTAGTCTCGATGGTCTTTACATTTTGGCATGATTTTGCAGCGGCTGGTACCAGTTGTTCCTTTCCATGTTTAGCGCTTCCTTCAGGAGCTCTTTTAGGGCAGGCCTGCTGGTCACAAAATCTCTCAGCATTTGCTGGTCTGTAAAGTATTTTATTTCTCCTTTACTTATGAAGCTTAGTTTGGCTGGATATGAAATTCTGGGTTGAAAATTATTTTCTTTAAGAATGTTGAATATTGGCCCCCACTCTCTTCTGGCTTGTAGGGTTTCTGCAGAGAGATCCACTGTTAGTCTGATGGGCTTCCCTTTGAGGGTAACCCGACCTTTCTCTCTGGCTGCCCTTAACATTTTTTCCTTCATTTCAACTTTGGTGAATCTGACAATTATGTGTCTTGGAGATGCTCTTCTTGAGGAGTATCTTTTTAGCGTTCTCTGTATTTCATGAATCTGAACGTTGGCCTGCCTTGCTAGATTGGGGAAGTTCTTCTGGATAATATCCTGCAGAGTGTTTTCCAACTTGGTCCATTCTCCGCGTCACTTTCAGGTACACCAATCAGACGTAGATTTGGTCTTTTCACATAGTCCCATATTTCTTGGAGGCTTTGCTCATTTCTTTTTATCCTTTGTTCTCTAAACTTCCCTTCTCGCTTCATTTCATTCATTTCATCTTCCATTGCTGATACCCTTTCTTCCAGTTGATCGCATCAGCTCCTGAGGCTTCTGCATTCTTCACGTAGTTCTCGAGCCTTGGTTTTCAGCTCCATCAGCTCCTTTAAGCACTTCTCTGTATTGGTTATTCTAGTTATACACTCTTCTAAATTTTTTTCAAAGTTTTCAACTTCTTTGCCTTTGGTTTGAATGTCCTCCCATAGCTCAGAGTAATTTGATCGTCTGAAGCCTTCTTCTCTCAGCTCGTCAAAGTCATTCTCCATCCAGCTTTGTTCCGTTGCTGGTGAGGAACTGCGTTCCTTTGGAGGAGGAGAGGCGCTCTGCATTTGAGAGTTTCCCGTTTTTCTGTTCTGTTTTTTCCCCATCTTTGTGGTTTTATCTACTTTTGGTCTTTGATGATGGTGATGTACAGATGGGTTTTCGGTGTGAATGTCCTTTCTCTTTGTTAGTTTTCCTTCTAACAGACAGGACCCTCAACTGCAGGTCTGTTGGAATACCCTGCCGTGTGAGGTGTCAGTGTGCCCCTGCGGGGGGGTGCCTCCCAGTTAGGCTGCTCGGGGTTCAGGGGTCAGGGACCCACTTGAGGAGGCAGTCTGCTGGTTCTCAGATCTCCAGCTGCGTGCTGGGAGAACCACTGCTCTCTACAAAGCTGTCAGACAGGGACATTTAAGTCTGCAGAGGTTACTGCTGTCTTTTTGTTTGTCTGTGCCCTGCCTCCAGAGGTGGAGCCTACAGAGGCAGGCAGGCCTCCTTGAGCTGTGGTGGGCTCCACCCAGTTCGAGCTTCCCAGCTGCTTTGTTTACCTAAGCAAGCCTGGGCAATGGCGGGCGCCCCTCCCCCAGCCTCGCTGCCGCCTTGCAGTTTGATCTCAGACTGCTGTGCTAGCAATCGGCGAGATTCTGTGGGCGTAGGACCCTCTGAGCCAGGTGTGGGATATAGTCTCGTGGTGCGCCGTTTTTTAAGCCGGTCTGAAAAGCGCAATATTCGGGTGGGAGTGACCCGATTTTCCAGGTGCGTCCGTCACCCCTTTCTTTGACTCGGAAAGGGAACTCCCTGACCCCTTGCACTTGCCGAGTGAGGCAGTGCCTCACCCTGCTTCAGCTCATGAACTGTGCACTGCTCCCACTGTCCTGCATCTGCTGTCTGGCACTCCCTAGTGAGATGAACCCGGTACCTCAGATGGAAAAGCAGAAATCACCCGTCTTCTGCGTCTCTCACGCTGGGAGCTGTAGACTGGAGCTGTTCCTATTCAGCCATCTTGGCTCCTCCTCCAGTGTAGTTTTTATTTGAAGATATTTCCTTTTCCACAACAGGCCTCAAAGCTCTCCAAATATCCACTTGCTGGTTCTGCAAAAAGAGTGTTTCATAACTGCTCAATAAAAATAAAGGTTCAACTCTGTGTGATGAATGCACTCATCACAAACAAGTTTCTCAGAATGCTTCCACGTAGTTTTAATGTGAAGGTATTTCCTTTTCCACAATAGGCCCCACACTCTGCAAATATCCACTAGGTCATTCTTCAAAAAGGATGTTTCAAAACTGCTCAATAAAAAAAAAGGTTCAACTCCGTGTGAGGAATGTATTCATCACAAAGAAGTTTCTCTGAATGCTTCTGTGTAGTTTTTATATGAAGATATTTCCTTTTACACAATAGGGCACAAAGGGCTCCAAATATCCCCTTACAGATTCTACAAAAAGAGAGATTCAAAACTGCTCAGTCAAAAGATAGGTTCATCTCTGTGAGTTGAATGCACACATCACAATGAAGTTTCTCAGAATGCTTCTGGGATAGTTTTTATTTGAGGATATTTCCTTTTACACAATAGGCCTCAAAACTCTCCAAATATCCAATTGGTCTTTCTGCAAAAAGGGTGTTTCAAAACTGCTCAATAAAAAGAAAGTTTCAACTCTGTGTGAGGAATGCATTCATCACAAAGAAGTTTCTCTGAATGGTTCTGTGTAGTTTTTATTTGAAGATATTTCCTATTCCACCATAGGGCACAAAGGGCTCAAAATATCCACTTGCAGATTCTACAAAAAGAGAGATTCAAAAGTGCTCAGTGACAAGATAAGTTCAACTCTGTGAGTTGAATGCACAACTCATGAAGAAGTTTCTCAGAATGCTTCTGTGTAGTTTTTATGTGAAGATATTTCCTTTTCCAAAATAGGCCTCAACAGAGTGGAATGGAATAGAAAGAATTGGAGTGGACTAGAATGGATGGACCCAAAGGGAATGGAATCGAATGCAATATAATTGAATGGATTAGAATCAACCAGAATCGAATGGAATCAAATGGAATGTGGCAAACTGAATTGGAGCAAAGTGGAATGGAGTGGAATGGAATGGAGTGGAATGGAATAGAGTAGAGTGTATTGGAGTGGCGGCGAATGGAATGGAATGGTAAGGAATGGAATTGAAAGGAGTGCAGTGGAGCGGAGTGGAGTGGAATGTAATGGAATGGATGGAATGGAGTGGAGTGGAGAGGAGAGGTGTGGAGGGGAGTGGAATGGAATAGAATGGAATTGAATAAAATGGACTCATATGAAATGAACTGGTATAGAATGGACTGGAATGGAAAGGACTTAAATGGAATGCACTCAAATAAAATGGACGCTAATGGAATGGAATCAAATATAATGGAATGGAATGGAATCGAATGGAATGGAATGGCTTTGAATGGAATGAGATCAAATGGAATAGTAGTGAATGGAATCGCATGGAATGGAATTGAATGGAATGGAATGAAATGGCATCGAATGGAATCGAATGGAATGCGGTGAATTGGAGAGGAGTGAAGTGGAATGGAGTGGAATAGAATAGGGTGGAATGGAATTGAATGTAATGGAGAGGAGTGGAGTGGAATGGAGTGGAATGAAATGGAATGGGAAGGAATGGTATTGAATGGAGGGGACTGGAGTAGAGTGGAGTGGAATGGAATGCAATGGAATGGAATGGAATGGAATGCAATGCAATTGAGTAAAATGGAATGGAAAAGATAGGAACGGAATGGTCTGGAGTGGGTTAGGATGGTGTGGAGTGAAGTGGAATGGAATGGAGTGGAATGGAATGGAATGGAGTGGAGTAGAGTGGAAAGGAGTGGAGTGGAGTGGAATGGAATAGAATGCAATGGAATGGAAAGGTATGGACTCTAATGGAATGAAGTGGGATGGAGTGGACTCGAATAGAATGGACTGGAATGGAACAGACATGAATGGAATGGACTCGAATGGAATGGAATTGAATGGAATGGAATCAAACATAATGTAATGGAATGGAATCGAATCAAATAGAATGGAATGGAATCATATGGAAGTGAATAAAATTTAATGTGATGTAATGAAAAGGAATGGAATGGAAAGGAATCAAATCGAAAGTGATTGAATGGAATAGAATCGAATGGAATGGAATCGAATTGAATGGAATCGAATGTCATCAAATGAAATCAAAAGGAATATGGTAAAGTGGAGAGGAGGGGAGTGGAATGGAGTTGAAGGGAATTTGGTGGAATGGAATTGAATGTGGTGGTGTGGAGTGGAGTGGAATGGAGTGGAATGTAATGGAATGGGAAGGATAGGAACTGAATGGAGTGGAGTGGAGTGGAGTGGAGTGGAATGTATTGCAATGGAATGGAATGGATAGTAAAGGAATGGACACGAATGGAATGGAAGGGACTTGAATGGAATGGACTGGAATAGAATGGACTGGAATGGAATGGACACGAATGGAATGGACTGGAATGGAATGGACTGGACTGGAATGGAATGGACACGAATGGAATGGACTGGAATGGAATGGACTCGAACGGAATGGAATCGAACAGAGTGGAATAGAATGCAATGAAATAGAATGCAATGGAATCGGATGAAATGGAATCAATCGGAATGGAATCGAATGACATCAAATGGAATTGAATGGAATGTGGTATAGTAGAGTGCAGTGGAGTGGAATGGAGTTGAATGGAATGCGGGTAATGTAATTGAATGTAGTGGAGTAGAGTGGAATAGAGTGGAATGGAAAGGAATGGGAAGTAACGAAATTGAATCGAGTGGAGTGGACTGGACTGGAGTTAAATGCAATGGAGTGGAATGGAATGGAGGAGAGTGGAGTGGAATGGAGTGGAATGGAGTGGAGTGGAGTGGAGTGGAGTGCAACGGAAAGGCATGGAATGGAATAGAATGGAATGTACTCAAATGGAATGGAATAAAGTGGAATGGAATAGAATGTAATGGAATCGAATTGAATGGAATGGAATGGAATAGAATGGAATGGAATAGAATGGAATGGAATGAAATCAAATGGAATTTGGTGAATTGGAGTGGAGTGGATTGGAAAGGAGAGGAATGGAATGTGTGGAATGGAATTGAATACAGTGGAGTGGAGTGGAGTGGAATGGAGTTGAATGGTATGGAATGAGAAGGAATGGAATTGAACGTAGTGGAGTGGAGTGGAAAGCAATAGAATGGAATTGAATGGAGTGGAGTGGAGTGGAGTGCCGAGGAGTAGAGTGGAATGCAATGGAATGGAATGGAATTGAGTGGAAAGGAAAGGAATGGAATGGAATTTAGTGGAGTGGAATGGAATGGAATGGAATGGAATGGAGTCGAATAGAATGTAATAGAATGGAATTGAATCAAATCAAATGGAATCGAATGGAATTCGGTGAAGTGAAGTGCAGTGGAGTGGAAAGGATGGGAATGCAGTGGGGTGGAATGGATTTGAATGGATTGTAGTGGACTGGTGTAGAATGGAAGGGAATTGAATGGAATGGGAGGGAATGGAATTGAACGGTGTGGAGTGGATTGGAGTGGAGTGGAAAGTAGCGGAATGCAGTGGAGTGGTGTGTAATGTAAATGAATGCAATGGAGTGGAATGGAGTGGAATGTCGTGGAATGGAGTGGAGTAGAAAGGAATGGAATGGAATGGAAAGGAATGGAACGGAATGGAATTCAATGGAATGGGACAGAATGGAATTGAACAAAGTGGAGTGTAGTGGAGTGGAGCAGAGTGGAATGCAAAGTAATAGAATGTAATGGAGTGGAATGGAATGGAATGGAATGCAATAAATTGGAATGGACTTGAATGGAATGGAAACGAATGGAATGGAATCAAATGGAATGGAACCGAATGGGATGGAATCAAATGGAATGGAATTGAATGGAATGGCATCGAATGGAATGGAATCGAATGGAAAGGAATTGAATGGAATGGTATTGAATGGAATGGAAAGAAATGGAATGGAATGGAAACAAACGGTATGGTATCGAATGTAATGGAATCGAATGGCATCAAATGGAATTGAAAGGAATGCGGTGAAGTGGAGTAAAGTGGGTTGAAATGGAGTGGAATGGAATGTGGAGGAATGGAATTGAATGGAGTGGAGTCGAGTTGAGGGTAATGAAGTGGAATGGAAAGGAATAGGAATGATTGGAATTGAAAGGAGTGGAGTGGAGTGGAATGCAATGGAATGGAATTGAGTGAAGTGGAGTCTAGTGAAGTGGAGTGTATTGGGATGGACAGGAGTGGAGTGGAGTGGAGTGCAATGGAATGGAATGAAATGGAATGGACTTGAATGGAATGGACTGGAGGGGAATGGACTGGAATGGAATAGAATCGAATGGAATGGACTCAAATGGATTGGAATCGAATGGAATGGAACGGAGTAGAATGGAATGGAACGGAATAGAGTGGAATAGAACAGAATGGATTCGAATGGAATGGACACGAATGGAATGGAATGGAATGCAATGGAATGCAATGGAATGCAATGGAAAGGAATCGAATGGAATGGAATTGATTGGAATGTAATTGAATGGAATCAAATCCAATGGCATTGAATGGAATAGAATGGAATGCAGTGAAGTCAACTGGAGTGGAGTGGAATACAGTGGAATGGAATGGGGTGGAATGGAATTGAATGGATTGGAGTGGAGTGGATTGGCATGGAGTGGAATGGAATGGAATGGGAAGAAATGGAATTGAATGGAGTGGAGAGGATTGGAGAGGAGTGGAATGCAATGCAATGGAAAGGAATGGAATGAAGTGGAGTGCAGTGGACTACACTGGAGTGGAGTTGAATTGAATGAAGTGGAGTGGAGTGGAATGGAATGGTGTGAAGTGGAATGGAATGGAATGGAATGGAATGAACTGGAATGGAATGGACTGGAATTGAATGGACTCGAATGGAATGGACTGGAATGGAATGGACTCGACTGGAATGGTCTGGAATGTAATAGACTCAAATGGAGTGGAATCGGATGGAATGGAATCAAATGAAAAGGAATCGAATGGAATGGCATCGAATGCAATGGAATCAAATGGCAAAGAATGGCATCAAATGGGAACGAATAGAATGCGGTGAGGCAGAGTGGAGTGGAATTGAGTGGAATGGAATGGGTTCGAACGGAACTGAATGGAGTAGCTTGGAATGTAGTGGAATAGAGTGGAATGGAATAGAATGGGAAGGAATGGTATTGAAAGGAGTGGAGTGGAGTGGAATGGAGTAGAAAGGAATGCAATGGAATGGAATGGAGTGGAGCGGAGTGGAGTGGAATGGAGATGAGTGGAGTGGAATGGAAGGGAATGGAAGGGAATGGAATGGAAGGGAATGGAATGGTAAGGAATGGAGTGTAGCGGAGTGAAATGGAATGCAATGTAATAGAATGGAATACAATGGAATGGAATGGAATGGAATGAACTTGAAGGAAACGGAGTGGGATGGAATGGAATGGGCTTGAATGAAATGGGCTCGAATGGAAGGGATTCGAATGGAATGGAACCAAAAGGAATGAAATCAAATGGAATGGAATTGAATGCAATGTAATCAAATGGCATTGAAAGGAATTGAATGGACTTAGTGAATGGGAGTTAAAGGGATTGGAATGGAAAGGCGTGGAAAGGGATGTAATGGAGTGAAGTGGAGTGGAGTGCATTGGAGTGGAACAGAATGGAATGGACAGGAGTAGATTTGAGTGGAGTGGAGAGGAATGCAGTGGAATGGAACAGAAAGGAATGGAATGGAGTGGAGTGAAGTGGAACAAAATGGAATGGAATGGAATGGAAAGCAGGGACATGTAATGGATTGGATTGGAATGGCCTGGAATGGAATGGAGTCAAGTGGAATGGACTTGAATGGCAAGTACTCGAATTCAGTGGACTCCAAAGGAATGGACTCAAATGGAATGGACTGGAAGGGAATATATATGAATTGAATGGACTCGAATGGAATGGAGTGGAATGGAATGAAATCAAATGGAGTGGAATCAGAAGGAATGGAATCGGATGGAAAGGAATGTAATGGAATGAAATGGAATTATGGAATGGAATGGAATGGAATGGAATGGAATGGAATGGAATGGAATGGAATCAAATGCAATGGAATAGAATGGCAACAAATGGCATTGAATGGGATCGAACAGAGTGCGGTGAGCTGGAGTGGAGTGGAATGGAATTGAGTGGAATGGAATGGGTTGGAACAAAACTGAATGGAGTAGCTTGGATTCTAGTGGAATGGAGTGGAATGGAATGGAATGGGGAAGAAGGGAATTGAACGGAGTGGAGTGGAGTGGAATGGAGTGGAATGGAATGCAATGGAATGGAATGGAGTGGAATGGAGTGGAGTGGAGCAGAGCAGAGAGGAGTGGAGTGGAGTGAAGTGGAGTGGAGTTGAGTGGAGTGGAATGGAACGGAATGGAATGGAAGCGAATGGAATGGTATGGAATGGAGTGTAGTGGAGTGGAATGGAGTGGAACGGAATGGAGTCATGTGGAGTGGAATGGAATGCAATGGAATAGAAAGGAATAAAATGGAATGGACTCGAATAGAATGGACTTGGTTGAAACGGAGTGGGATGGAATGGACTGGAATGGAATGGGCTTGAATGGAAAGGGATCGAATGGAATGGATTCAAATGAAATAGAATCGAACGGAATGAAATTGAATGGAATGGAATTGAATGCAATATAATCGATTGACATCTAATGGAATCAAATGGACTTAGTCGAGTTAATTGGAGTGGAAAAGAGTGCAATGGAATGGGGTGGAAAGGAATTTAATGGAGTGAATTGGAGTGGAGTGGAATGGAGTGGAATGGAATGGAAGGGGAAGGAATGGAATTGATTGGAGTAGAGTTGAGTAGAGTGGATTGGAGACGAATGCAGTAGAATGGAATGGAAAGGAATGGAGTGGAGTGGAGTAGAGTGGAAAGGATTGGAATGAAATGGAATGGAAAGCTGTAGCATTGAAAGGATTGGAATGGAATGTACTGGAATGGAATGGAATCAAGTGGAATGGACTCGAATGGCACGTACTCGAATTGAGAGGACTCGAAAGGAATGGACTCAAATGGAATGGAATCGAACGTAATAGTCACGAATTGCATGGAAATGTATGGATAGGAATCGAATTGAAAGGCATCAAATGGAATGAAATCGAATGGAATGGAATCTAACGGATTGGAATCAAATGGAATGGAATCTAATGGAATGGAATGTAACGGAATGGAATCGAGTGGAATATAATCGAATGGAATATAATAAAATGGCACCGAATGGAATCAAACGGAATGCGGTGAAGTGGAGTGGAATGGAGTGGAATGGAGTGGAATGGAATGGTGTTCAATGGAATTGAACGGAGAGGAGTGGAGTAGAAGGCAGTGGATTGGAATTAAATGGGAAGGAATGGAATTGAACAGAATGGAGTGGAGTGGAACGCAATGGAATGGAATGGAGTGTAGTGGACTGGAGTTGAGTGGAGTGGAGTAGAGTTGAATGGAAAGAAGTGGAATGGAATGGAATGAAGTGGAATGGAGTGGAGTGGATAAATTGCAATGGAATGCAATGCAGTGGAAAGGAATGGAGGGGATTGGAGTTGACTGGAGGGGAGTGGAATGGAATGGAGTAGAGTGGAATGGAATGGAGTGGATTGGAATGGAATGGAGGGGAATGGAATGGAATGGAATGGAATGGAATGGAATGGAGTGGAGTGGAATAGAATGGAATGGAATGGAGTGGATTGGAATAGAATAGAATGGAATGGAGTGGAATGGAATGGGTTGGAAAGGAATGGAATGGAACGGAATGGACAGGAGTGTAGAAAAGTGGAGTGGAGTGGAATTGAATGGAGTGGAGTGGAGTGGAATGGAATGGAATACTATGGAACGGACCGGAAGGGAATGGACCCGAATGGAATGGACTTGAATGGAATGGACTCGAATGCAATGGACTCGAATAGAAAGGAATTGAATTAAATGGAATCAAAAGGAATGGAATCAAATGGTATCTAATATATAGGAATAGAATGTGGTGAAGTGGAGTGGAGTAGACTCGAATGGAGAGGAATGGAATGGTGTGGAATTGTATTGAATAAAGTGGAGTGCAGTGGAGTGGAATGGGGTGGAATGGAGTGGAATGGGAAGGAATGGAATCAGAAGGAAGGGAATGGAATGGAGTGGAGTGGATTGGAATGCAATGGAATGGAATGGATTGGAGTGGAGTGGAGTGGAATGGAATGGAGTGGCATGGAATAAAATGGAATGGAATGGAAAGCACTGGAGTGGAGTGGAGTGGAATGGAGTGGAATGGAAAGGAATGGGAAGGAATGGAATTGAATGGAGTGGAGTGGAGTGGAGTGCAATGGAATGGAATGGAATGAATTGCAGGGGATTGGAGTGGAGTGGAGTAGGTTGGAGTGGAGTGGAGTTTAATGGAATGGAATGGAGTGGAATGGAATGGAATGGTTTCGAATGGAACTAAATTGAATGGTTTGGAAAAGAACGGGAAGGAATCAAATGGAATGGAATCGCATAGAATGGAATCGAATGTAACGCAATTGAATGGAACGGAATGAAATGGAATTGAATTGAATGAAATGGAATCAAATCGAATGGAATGAAATGGCATCGAATTGAATCGAATGGAATGTGGTGGAGTGGAGTGGAACGGAGTGGAATGGAATGGGGTGTAATGGAATTGAATGGAGTGGAGTGGAGTGGAAAGCAATGGAATGGAATGGAATGGTGTGGATTGAATTGGAGTGTAGTGGAGTGTATTGGAGTGGAATGGAGAGGAATGGAGGGGAGGGGAGTGGAATGGAATGCAGTCGAGTGGGATGGAATGGAATGGAGTGGAATGGAATGGATTGGAGAGGAAAGGAATGGCATAGAATGGAATGAGGTGGAAACGAATGGAATTTAAGGGAGTGTAGTGGAGTGGAGTTGAGAGGAATGCTATGGAATGGAATGGAATGGAGTGGAGTGGAGAGGATTGGAGTGGACTGGAGTGGAATGGAGTGGAGTGGAGTAGAGAGGAGTGGAGTGGAATGACATGAAATAGAATGGAGGGCAGTGGAAAGGATTTGAAAGGAGTGGAGGGGAATGGAATTTAATTGAACGTGTTGAAGTGGAGTGGAGTGGAGTGGAATGCAATGGAATGGAATTGAATGAGGTCGAGTGGAGTGGAGTAGAGTGGAATGGAATGGAAAGGAATGGATATGAATGGAATCGAATGGGATCTATTGGAATCGAATGGAATGCAGCAAAGTGGAGTGGAGTGGAATGGAGTGGAATGTAATTTGGTGGAATGAAATTGAATGGAGTGGAGTGGAGTGGATTGGAATGCAGTGGAATGGAATGGAATGGAATAGAAAGGAATGGAGTGCAATTGAATCGAATGCAATGGAATGGAATGCAATGCAGTGCAGTGGAGTGCAGTTTAGTGGAGTGGAGTAGAATGGAGTGGAATGGAATGGAATGAAATGGAGTGGAATGGAATTGAATGGAATGGAATGGAATGGAGTCAAATCGAAATGAATCGAATGGAATGGAATCAAACGGTATGGAATGGAACGGAATGGAGTCGAAAGGCATCAAATGGAATCGAATGGAATGCGATGAAGTGGAGTGGAGTGGAGTGAAAGGCAGTGGAATGGAACTGAGTGGAGTGGAGTGGAATGGATTGAAATGGAATGGAATGGGAAGGAATGGAATTGAACGGACTGGAGTGGAAAGGAGAGGAATGCGATGAAATGGAATGGAATGGAATGTAGTAGAGGGGAGTGTAGGGGAGTGGAATGTAATGTAATTGAATGGAATGGATTCGAATGGAATGGACTGGAATTTAATGGACTGGAATGGAATGGACTCTAATGGAATGGAATCAAATGGAAAGGAAACGAACGGAATGGAATCGAATTGAATGGATTCGAATGGAATGGACTGGAATGGAATGGACTCAAATGGATGGCACACGAATAGAATGGAATTGAATGGAATGGAATGGCATGGATTCAAATGGAAGGGACTGGAATTTAATGGATTGGGATAGAATGGACTGGAATGTAATGGAATAGAATGGAATGGTTTCGAACGGAATAGAATCGAATGGAATAGATTCAAATGCAATGGAGTCGAACGGAACGGAATCGAATGGAATGGATTCGAATGGAATATACTGGATTGGAATGGACGCAAAAGTAATGCACTCGAATGGATCGGACTGGAATGGAATGGACTCGGATGGAATGCAATAGAAACGAATGGAATTGAATGGCATTGAATGGAATCGAATGGAATATGATGAAGTGGAGTGGAGTGGAGTGGAGGGAAATGCAGTGGAATGGAATGTGGTGGAATGGAATTGAATGGAGTGGAGCGGAGTGGAGTGGAATGCAATGGAATGTACTGGAATGGCGTCAATTGGACTGCAGTGTAGTGGATTGTAGTGGAGGGGAAAGGAGTGGAAAGGAGTGGAGTGAAGTGGAGTGGAATGGAATGCAGTCGAGTGGAATGGAATGGAATGGAATGGAGTGGAAAGGAATGGAATGGAATTGAATGGAATGGAATGGAAAGGAAGGGAATGGAGTGGAGTGTAGTGGACTGGAGTGGAGTGGAGTTGAATGGAGTTGAGTGTAGTGGAGTGGAATGGAGTGGTTTGGAGTGGAATGGAATGGAATGGCATGGACTCAAATGGAAAAGACTCAAATGGAATGGACTGGAATATAGTGTACATTAATTGAATGGACTCGAATGGAATGGACTCGAATGGAATGTATTGGAATGGAATGGACTCAAATGGAGTGGAATCGGATGGAATAGAATCGAATGGAAAGGAATCGAATGGAATGGAATCGAATGGAATGGAATCAAATGTAATAGAATCGAATGGCCACGAATGGCATCGAATGGGACCAAATAGAATGTGGTGAGGTGGAGTGGAGTGGAGTGGAATTGAGTGGAATGGAATCATGTGGAACGCAACTGAATGTAGTAGCTTGGATTCTAGTGGAGTGGAGTAGAATGTAATGGAATGGGAAGGCGTGGAAGTGAACGGAATGGAGTGGAGTGGAATGGAGTGGAATGGACTGCAATGGAATGGAATGGAATGGAATGAAGTGGAGTGGAATGGAATGGAACCGAAAGGAATGGAAGGGAATGGAATGCTATGGAATGGAGTGTAGTGGAGTGGAATGGAGTGTAATGGAATGGAGTGGAATGGAATGGAATGAAGAGGAGTGGACTGGATTGGAATGCACTAGAATGGAATAAAATGGAATGGACTCGAATAGAATGGGCTTGGATGAAACGAAGTGTGATGTAATGGAGTGGAATGGAATGGGCTGGAAAGGAATGGACTCGAATGGAATGGAATCGAACGCAATGAAAAAGAGTGGAATGGAATCTAACGCAATGTAATCAAAAGGCATCGAATGGAATCAAATGGACTTAGTGAACTGGAGTTAATTGGAGTGGAAGGGAGTGGAATGGAATGGGGTGGAAAGGAATTTAATGGAGTGAAGTGAAGTGGAGTGGAATGGAGTGGAACGGAATGGAATGGAAAGGAATGGAATTGATTGGAGTAGAGATGAGTGGAGTGGGGTGGAGACGAATGCACTGGAATGGAATGGAAAGGAATGGAGTGGAGTGGAGTGGGGTGGAACCGAGTGGAATGGAATGGAATGGAAAAGAATGGCATGGAATGGATTGAAATGGAATAGACTGGAATGGAATGGAGTCTAATCGAATGGACTCGAATGGCACGTAATCCAATTGAGTGGACTCGAAAGGAATGGACTCAAAAGGAATGGACTCGAATGTAATGGTCTCGAATTGAATGGAAACCTAGAGATTGGAATCGAATGGAAAAGCATCCAATGGAATGGAATCGAATGGAATGGAATCTAACGGACTGGAATCAAACGCAATGGAATTGAATGTAATGGAATCTAAAGGAATGGAATCGAGTGGAATGGAATCGAATGGAAAGTAATCAAATGGCATGGAATGAAATCGAATGGAATATGGTCAAATGAAGTGGAGTAGAGTGGAATGGAATGGTGTTCAGTGGAACTGAAGGGAGTGGAGTGGAGTTGAATGTAGTGGAAAGGAATGTAATGGGAAGGAAAGGAAGTGAACAGAGTGGAGTGGAGTGGAATGCAATGGAATGGAATGGAATGGATTGGAGTGGACTTGAGTTGAGTGGAGTGGAGTGGATCAGATTGGAATGGAATGGAGTGGAATGGAGTAGAGCAGAATAAAATGCAATGGAATGCAATGCAAAGTAATGGAATGGAGTGGAATGGAGTGGACTGGAGTGGAGTGGAGTGGAATGGAATGGAGTCGAGTGGAATGGAATGGAATGCAGTGGATTGGAATGGAAGGGAATGGAATGGAATGGAATGGAATATAATGGAATGGAATGGAATTTAATGGAGTGGAGTGGAATAGAATGGAATGGAGTGGATTGGAATGGAATGGGTTGGAAAGGAATGGAATGGAATGGAGTGCAGAAAAGTGGAGTGCAGAGGAGTGCAGGGAGTGTTATGGAGTGGAATTGAATGGAATGGAATGGAATGGAATGGAATGGAATGGAATGGAATGGACACGAATACAATGGACTTGAACGGAATGGACTCGAATGCAATGGACCCGAATAGAAAGGAATTGAATGGAATGGAATCAAAAGGAATGTAATCGAATGGCATTTAATATAATCGAATGGAATGTGGTGAAGTGGAGTGGAGTGGACTGGGATGGAGTGGAATGGAATGGGGTGGAATTGTATTGAATGGAGTGGAGTGCAGTGGAAAGGAATGGAGTGGAATGGAACGGAACGGGAGGGAATGGAATCGGAAGGAAGAGAATGGAATGGAGTGGAATGGAGTGGAGTGGAATGCAACGGAATGGAATGGAATGGATTGGAGTGGAGTTGTGTGGAGTGGAATGGAATGGAGCGGAATGGAATACAATGGAATGGAAATAAAAGCAGTGGAGTGGAGTGGAGCGGAATGGAGTGGAATGGAATGGAATTGAATGGGAAGGAATGGAATTGAATGGAGTGGAGGGCAATGGAATGGAATGGAATGAAGTGGAGGGGCTTGGAGTGGAGTGCAATGGAATGGAGAGGAGTGGAGTAGATTGCATTTTAGTGGAGCGGAGTTTAATGGAATGGAATGGAGTGGAATGGAATGGAATGGTTTTGAATGGAACTTAATCGAATGGTATGGAATCAAATGGGATGTAATCAAATACAAGGGAATAGAATGGAATGTAATCGAATGTAATGTAATCGAATGGAATGGAATCAAATGGAATTGAATTAAATGAAATGGAATCAAATGAAATGGACACGAAAGGAATGGAATGGAATGGAATGGACGTGAATGGAATGGACTAGAATGGATTGGACTGGAATGGAATGGACTCGGATTCAATGGAATAGAATGGAATGGAATCGAATGGCATTGAATGGAATCGAATGGAATGCGGTGAAGTTGAGTGGAGTGGAGTGAAATGCAATGGAATGGAATGGGATAGAATGGTATTGAATGGAGTGGAGAGGAGTGGAGTGGAAAGCAATGGAATGGAATGGAATGGCATGGATTGGATTGGAGGGTAGTGGACTGTAGTGGAGTGGAATGGAGTGGAATGGATTGGAGTGGAAAGGAGTGGAGAGGACTGGAGTGGAATGGAGTGGAGAAGAGTGGAGAGGAGTGGAGTTGAATGACATTAAATGGAATGGAGTTGAGTGGAATCGATTGGAATAGAGTAGAGGAGAGTGTAATGGAGTGCAATGTAATGGAATGGAATGGAATGGAATTTAACGGAGTGAAGTGGAGTGGAGTGGAATGCAATGGAATGGAATTGAATGGAGTGGAGTGGAGTCGAATGGAATGCAATGGAATGGAATGGAATGGAATGGAATCTAATGGAATGGATTTGAATGGAATGGAATCAAATGGAAGGGAATGGGATGGAATTAATAGAATGGAATGGATTTGAAAGGAACGGAATTGAATGGGATCAAATGGAATCGAATGGAATGTGGTGAAGTGGAGTGGAGTGGAATTGAGTGTAATGGAATTTGGCGGAATGCAATTGAATGGAGTGGAGTGGTTTTGAATGGACAGGAAAGGAATGGAATGGGAATGAATGTAATTGAATGGAGTGGAGGCGAGTGGAGCGGAATGCAAAAGAATGGAATGGAATGGAGTGTAGGGGAGTGGAGTAAATTCTAGTGGAGTGGAGAGGAATGGAGTGGAATGGTATGGAATGGAAAGGAATGGAGTGCAATTGAATCGAATGGAATGGAATGGAATGGAATGCAGTGGAGTAGAGTGGAGTGGACTGCAGTTAAATGGAATGGAATGGAATGGAATGCAGTGGAGTAGAGTGGAGTGGACAGCAGTTAAATGGAATGGAATGGAATGGAATGGAATGGAATGGAATGGAATGGAGTGTAGGGAATTGGAATGCAATGGAATGGAATGGAAAGGAATGGAATGGATTCCAATGGAATGGAATGGACTGTAATGGAATCGACTGGAATGGAATGGATTCGAATGGAAAGAAATCAAATGGAATGGAAACGAATGGAATGGATTCGAGTGGAATGGACTGGTATGGAATGGACTAGAATGGACTGGACACGAATGGAATGGAATTGAATGTAATGGAATGGAATGGAAAGGTTATGGAATGGAATGAATTAGAATGGATTGGACTGGAATTTAATGGACTGGAATGGAATGGAGTGGAGTGTAATGGACTCGAATGGAATGGAATTGAATGGAATGGATTCGAGCAGAATGGAATTGAATGGAATGGATTCGAAAGGAATGGAATCAAATGGAATGGAATCGAATTGAATGGATACCAATGGAATTGACTGGAATGGAAGGGATGCAAAATGGAATGGACTCGAATGGATTTGACTGGAATGGAATGGAATCGTATGGAATGGAATTGAATGCAATGGAATCGAATGGCATCAAATGGAATCGAATGGAATGCGGTGAAGTGGAGTGGAGTGAAATGCAGTGGAATGGAATGGGGTGGAATGGAATTGAATTGAGTGGGGCAGAGTGGAGTGGAATGGAGTGGAATTGAATGGAGGGGAAGGAATGGAATTGAACAGACTTGAGTGGAGAGGAGTGGATTGGAATGCAATAGAATGAAATGGAATGGAATGGAGTGGAGTGGAGTGGATTGGAGTGGAATTAAATAGAATGGAATGGAATGGAATGGAATGGAATGGAATGGAATGAACTCAAACGGAATGGACTGCAAGGGAATGGACTGGAATGGAATGGACCCGAATGGAATGGACTGGAATGGAATGGACTCAAAAGGAATGAACTCGAATGTAATGGAGTAGAATGGAAAGGAATCGTACTGAATGGAATCGAATGGAATGGAATCAAATGAAATAATATGGAAAGGCGTCGAATGGAATCCAGTGTTATGCAGTGAAGTGGAGTGGAGAGGAGTGTAATTGAGTGGATTGGAATGGGGTGGAATGGAAAGGAATGCAGTGGAGTGCACTGGAGTGCAATAGAGTGGGATGGAATGGAATGGGAAGGAATGGAATTGAACTGAGTGGAGTTGAGTGGAGCGGAGAGGAGTGGAATGCAAAGGAATGGTAAGGAGTGCAAAGGAATGGAATGGAATGGACTGGAATGGAAAGGACTCGAATGGAACGGAATTGAATGGAATGGACGCGAATGGTATGGACTCGAATGCAATGTAATCAAACGGAGTGGAATCAAATGGCACTGAATTGAATAAAATGGAATCAAATGGAAAGGAATCGGAAGGCAACGAGTGGAAGGGAATGGAATGTGGTTAATTGGAGTGCAATGAATTGGAATGCAGTGGAATGGAATGAGGTGGAATGGAATTGATTGGAGTGGAGTGGAGTGGAGCAGAATGCAATGGAATGGAATGGACCAGCATGGATTGGAGTTGAGTGGAGTAGAGTGGAGTGGAGAGTAGTGGAATGGAGTGTAGTGTAGTGGAGTGGAGTGGAGTAGAGTGGAGTGGAATGGAATGCACAGGAAAGGAATGGACTAGAATGGAACGGACATCAATGGAATGGACTCGAATGGAATGGACTCGAATGCAATGGAATCAAATGGAATGGAATAGAATGGAACGGAATTGAATGAAATGGAATCAAATGGAAAGGAATCAAATGGCATCAAACAGAATGGAATGGAATGTGGTTAATTGGAGTGCAGTGCATTGGAATGGAATGGTGTGCAATGGAATTGAATGGAGTGGAGTGGAGTGGAGCAGAATGCAATGGAATGGAAGGGAACAGCATGGATTGGAGTTGAGTGTAGTAGAGTGGAGTGGAGTGGAAGGGAGTGGAGTGGAGTGGAGTGGAGTGGAGTGGAAAGGAATGGAGTCTAGTGGAATGTAATGGAATAGAATGGAATGGAATGTAGTGGAATGGAATGGAATGGAGTTGAAATAAATGGAATGGAATGCAATGGAATGGAATGGAATGGAATGGATTGGAATGGGATGGAATGGAAAGGAGTGGAATGGAATGTAACGTAGTGGAATGGAAAGTATTGGAGGGGAATGGAATGGAGTGGAAAGGAATGGAATTTAACAGAGTGGAGTGGAGTGTAGGGGAGTGGAGTGGAATGCTATGGAATGTAATGGAATGGAGTGGAGTGGAAAGCAGTGAATTGGAGTGGAGTGGAATGGAGTGGAATGGAGTGGAGTGGAATGGGATGAAATGGAATATGGTGGAGTGGAGTGGAATGGGATGAATTGGAATATGGTGGGTGGAATGGAATGGAATGGAGTGGATGGGAGTGGAATGGAGTGGAATGGAATGGTATGGAATTGAACGGAGTGGAGTGGAAGGCAATGGAATGGAATTGAATGGAGAAGACTGGAGTGTAGTGGAGGGGAGTGGAATGGAATCGAGTAGAATGGACTGGAATGGAATGGACACGAATAGAATGGACTTGAGTGGAATGGAATCGAAAGGAATGAAATTGAATGGAATGGAATTGAATGGAATTGATGTGAAACGAAAAGAACAGAAGGGAATCGAATGGAATTCAATGGAATGCGGTAAAGTGGCGTAGAATGGAGTGGAATGCAGTGGAATGGAAAGGAATGGGAAGGAATGGAATTGAAGGGAGTGGAGTGGAATGCAGTGGAATGGAGTGGAATGGAATGAGGTGGAATGGAATTGAACTGAGTGGAGTGGAGAGGAATGAAATGGAATGGAATGGAATGGTGTGGATTGGATTGGAGTGCAGTGGATTGTAGTGGAGTAGAGTGGAATGGAGTGCAGTGGAGTGGAGTGGAGTGGAATGGAATGGTGTCGAGTGGTATGAAATGAAATGGAATGGAATGGAATGCAGTGGAATGGAGTGGAATGCAGTGGAAAGGAATTGAATGGAATGGAATGGAGTGGAGTGGAGTGGAATCTTATGGAATGGAATGGAATGGAGTGGAGTGGAATGGAATGGAGTGGATTCGAATGGAATGGAATGGAATGGAGATGAGTGGAATGGAATGGAATTGAGGGGAATGGAATAGGGTTGACAGGATTGGAATTTAACGGAGTGGTGTGGAGTGGAGTGGAATGCTATGGAATATAATGGAATGGAGTCGAGTGGAAAGGAGTAAAGTGGAGTGGAGTGGAATGGATTGTAGTGGAGTGGAGTGGAATGGAATGAAATAGAATGTGGTGGAGTGGAATGGAATGGAATGAGTAAACGGGAGTAGAATTGAGTGGAATGGAATGGAATGGAAAAAAATTAAACGCAGTGGAGTGGAGTGGAGAGGAATTCAATGGAATGGAATTGAATGGAGAGGAGTGCAGGGAAGTGGAGTGGAACAGAATGGAATAGAATGGACTGGAATGGAATGGACACGAATGGAATGGACTTGAGTGGAATAGAATCGAATGGAATGGAATTGAATCGAATGGAATTGAATGGAATCATTTGAAAGGAATGGAATCGAAGGGAATCGAATGCAATTCAATGGAATACAGTGAAGTGGCGTGGAGTGGAGTGGAGTGGAATGAAGTGGAATGGAATAGAGTGGGAAGGAATGGAATTGAATGGAGTGTTGTGTAATGGATTGGAATGGAGTGGAATGGAATCGGGTGGAATGGAATTGAATTGAATGGATGGGAGAGGAACGCAATGGAATGGATTGGAATGGCATGGATTGGATTGGAGTGTAGTGGACTGTACAGGAGTGAAGTGGAGTGTAGGGGAGTGGAATTGAATGGTGTCAAGTGGAATGTAATAAAATGGAATGTAAAGAAATGGAGTGGAATGGAGTGGAATGGAGTGCAAAGAAATTAAATGGAATGGAATGTAAGGGATAGGAAAGGAATTGAATGGAGTGGATTGGAATGGAATGGAGTGAGTGGAATGGAATGGAATGGAGGGGAATGGAATGTGGTTGACAGGAGAGGAATTTAACTGATTGGAGTGGAGAGGAGTTGAATGCTATAGAATGGAATGGAATGGAGTGGAGTGGTGTGTAGTGCAGTGGAGTGGAATGGAGTGAGGTGGAGTGGAGAGGAGTGGAGTGGAATTGAATGAAATGGAATGGAGTGGAGTGGAAAGGACTGGAATGTAGTGGAGGGGAGTGGAATGGAGTGTATTGTAATGGAATGGAATGGAATGGAACTTAATGTAGTGGAGTGGAGAGGAGTGGAATGGAATGCAATGGAATGGAATTGAATGGTGTGGAGTGGAGTGGAGTGGGGTGGGGTGGTGTGGAGTGGAATGGAATGGAATGGTATGGAATGGACACGAATGGAATGGACTGGAATGGAATAGAATCAAATGAAATGGAATCAAATTGAATTAATTGAATAGAATGGATTCGAAAGGAATGGAATCGAATGGCATCGAATGGAATTGAATGGAATGTGGAGAAGTGGAGTGGAGTGGAATGGAGTGGAATGGAATTTGGTGGAATGCAATTGAATGGAGTGGATTGGAGTGGGGTGGAATGGAGTGGTATGGAATGGAATGGGAATGAATGGAATTGATTGGAGTGGAGTGGAGTGGATTGGAGTGGAATGCAAAGGAATGGAATGGAGTGGAGTGGAGTGGAGTAAACTGTAGTGGAGTGGAGTAGAAAGGAATGGAATAAAATGGACTAGAATGAAATGGACACGAATAGAATGGACTTAAGTGGAATGTAATCGAATGGAATGGAATAGAAAGGAATGGAAATTAATGGAATGGATTTGAAAGGAATGGGAACGAATGGAATCTAATGGAATTAAATGGAATGCAGTGAAGTGGCATAGAGTGGCTGCAATGTCATGGAATGGAATGGAATGGAATGGGAATGAATTGAATTGAATGGAGTGGAGTGGAATGTAGTGGAATGGAATGGGGTGGAATGGAATTGAATTGAATGTAGTGGAGTGGAATGCAATGGAATGGAATGGAAGGACATGGATTGGATTGGAGTGTAGTGGATTGTAGTGGAGTGGAGTGGAGAAGAATGGAGTGGAGTTGAGTGGAGTGGAATGGAATGGTGTCGAGTGGAATGGAATGGAAAAGATTGGAGTGGAATGGAGTGGAATGGATTGGAATGAAATTTTTTGGAATGCAATTGAATCGAGTGGATTGCAGTGCAGTCGAATGGAGTGGAATGGAATGGAATGGGAATGAATGGAATTGAATGTAGTGGAGTGGAGTGGAATGCAAAGGAATGGAATGTAGTGGAGTGGAGTGGAGAGGAGTAAACTGTAGTGCAGTGGTGAGGAATGGAGAGGAATGGAATGAAATGGAATGGAATGGAATGGAATGGAATGGAATGGAATGGAATGGAATGGAGAGCAATTGAATCAAATGCAATGTGATGGAAAGCAATGCAGTGGAGTGGAGAGGAGTGGAGTGGAGTGCAGTAGAATGGAGTGGAGTGGAATAGAATGGAATGGAATAGAATGGAATGGAATGGAAGAGAGTGGAATGGAATGGACTTGAATTGATTGGACTCAAATGGATTTGAATGGAATGGAATGGAATCGAATCGAATGGGATGGAATTGAAAGGTATGGAATCGAATGGAATTGAGTTGGAATGGAATGGAATTGAAAGGCATCAAATGTAATCGAATGGAATGGAATCGAATGGCCTCGAATGGAAGCAAATGGAATGTGATGAAGTGGAGTGGAGAGTTGTGGAATGGAGTGTGATGGAATGGGTTAGAATGGAATTGAATATACTGGAATGGAGTGTAGTGGAATGGAGTGGGATGGAATGGAATGGGAAGGAATGGAATTGAACGGAGTGCAGTGGAGTGCAGTGGAGTGGAGTTGAAGGCAATGAAATGGAATAGAATGGGGTAGAGTGGAGTAGAGCAGAGTGGACTGGCGTGGAATGGAGTGAAGTGGAGTAGCGTGGAGTGGAATTGAGTGGAGAGGAGTCGAGTGGAGTGGAATGGAATTGAATGAAATGGAATTGAGTGGAATGGAATGGAATATAATGGAATGGAATGCAATGGAATGGGAAGGAATGGAATTGAACGGAATGGAGTGGAGTGGAATGGAATGGAATGGATGGAATGGAATTCAATGGAGTGGAGTGGAGTGAAGTGCATTGGAGTGCAATTGAATGCAATGGATTGTAGTGGAGTACAGTTGAGAGGAGTGTATTGGAATGCCCAGGACTGGAATATAATGGAGTGGAGTGGAGTGGAGTGGAATGGAGTCGAGTATAGAGTCGTGGAGTGGAGTGTAATGGAATGGAGTGGAGTGGGATGGAAATGACTCAAGTGGAGTGGAGTGGAGTGGAATGGAGTGGAATCGAATGGAATGGAAAGGAGGGGCGTGGAATAGAGTGGAGTGGAGTGGAGTAGAATGGAATAGAGTGGAATGGAATGGAATGGAGGGGAGTGGAGTGGAGGGGAATGTAGTGGAGTGGAGTGGTGTGGAGTTGAGTGGAGTGGAGAAGAATGGAGTTGAATGGAGCAGAATGGAATGGAATGGAGTGGAGTGGTGTGGAGTTTAATGGAATGCATTGGAGTGGAATGGAATGGAGTAGAATGGAATGGAATGGAATGGACACGAATTGGATGGACTTGAATGGAATGAACTGGAATGGGATGTCCTCGAATGGAATGGAGTCGAATAGAATGCACTTGAATGGAATGGACTCGAACAGAATGGAATCGAATGGAATGTAATTGAATGGAGTGTAATCAAACAGAATGGAATCGGATGGAATGGTAGTGGATGGAATGGAATGGAATGGAATGGAATAGAATGGAATCGAATGGCATTGAATGGAATGTGGTGAAGTGGAGTGTAGTGGATTGGAGTGCAGTGGATTGGAATGGAAAGTGATGGAATGGAATTAAATGGACTGAAGTGGAGTGGAATGGAATGGGAAGGAATGGAATTAAATGCAGTGGAGTGCAGTGGATTGGAATGCAATGGAATGGTATGGAATGGAGTGGAGTCGAGTGGAGGGGAGTGGAGTGGATTGAAGTGAAGTGTAATGCATGTGAATGGAATAGAATGGAGTGGAAAGAAATGCAGTGGAATCGAATGCAGTGTAATGGAATGTAGTGGTGGTGGAATAGAATAGAATAGAATGGAATGGAGTAGAGTGAAATGAAGTGGAATGCATTGGAGTGGAATAGAATGGAGTGGAGTGAAGTGGAGTGGATGGAATGGAGTGGGGTGAAGTGGAATGGAATGGAATGGAATGGAATGGAATGGAATGGAATGGAATGACTCAGATGGAATGGAATCGAATGAAATGAACTGGAATGGAATGGACTCAAAGGGAATGGAGTGGAATCGAATGGAATGGGATCAAATGGAATGGAAATGAATGGAATTAAAACCAACAGAATGGAACAGCATGGCATCGACTGGATTCGAATGGTAAATGGTGAAGGGGAGTGGGGTGGAGTGGACTGGAACAGAGTTGAATGGGGTTGAAAGAAATTTATTGGAGTGGAGTGCAGTGGAGTGGAGTGGAGTGGAATGGAATGCAATGAAAAGGAATGATATTGAACAGAGTGGAGTGGAGTGGAGTGGAATGCAATGGAAAGGAAAGGAATGGATTGGAGTGGAGTGGAGTGGAATGCAATGTAATGGAATAAATTGGAGTGGAGTGGAGTGGAGTGGAGTGGAATGGAATGGAAGAGATTGGAATGGATTGGAATGGAATGGAATGGACTCAAATGGAATGGACTGAAATGGAATTTACTGGAATGGAACGGACTGGAATGGAATGCACTCGATTGGGATGGACAAAAATGGAAGTTCTCCAAAGTAATGAAATTGAATGGAAAGGAATTGAATGGAATCGAATCAAATGGAATGGAATAGAAAGGAAAGGAATCGAATAGCATCAAACGGAATAGGAAGGAATGCGATGAATTGGAGTTTAGTGGACCGGAGTGGAATGGTATGGCGCAGAAGGGAATTGAATGGAGTGAAGTGTAGTGGAATAGAGTGGAATGGAACGGAATGGGAAGAAATTTAATTGGATGGAGTGGAGTGGAGAGTAGTATCCAATGGAAAGGAATGGAAGGTAGTGGAGTGGAGTGGATTGCAATGGAGTAAAATGGAATGGAATGGAATGGAAAGGAATGGAATTGAGTGGAATGGACTGGAATGGAATGGAATGAAATGGACTCTAATAAAATGGACTCGACTGGAATGTACTGGAAGGGAATGGAAATGATTGGAATGGAATACAATGGAATGGAGTGGAATGGACTCGAATGCAATGAACTCGAATGGAAGGGAATCGAATTGAATGGACTATAATGGAATGGAATCAAAGGGAATGGAATCAAATGGCATCGAATGGAATTGAATGGAATGCGATGAAGTGGAGTGGACTGGAGTGGAGTGGAAGGGAATTGAATGGAATGGAATTGAGTGGAATGGAATGGAATGGAATGGAATGGAATGGAATGGAATGGAATGGAATGGAATGCAATTGAATTGGAAGGAATAGAATTGAACTGAGTGGAGTGGAGTGGAGTGGAATGGAATGAAGTGGAATGGAATGGACTGGAGTGGAATGGAATGGAATGGGGTGGAGTGGAATCGATTGGAATGGAATGGAATGAGGACTGGAATTGAATGGAGTGGAGTGGAATGGAGTGGAATGCAAAGGAATTGAATGGAATGGAGTGGAGTGGAGGTGAATAAAGTGTAGTGTAGTGGAGAGGAATGGACTGGAATGGAATGGAATTGAATTAAATGGTGTGGAATTGAGTCGAATTTAATGGAATGCACCAGAGTGGTATGGAGTGGAGTGGAATGGAGTGGAATGGAATGGAATGGAAGGGAATGGAATGGAATGGAAGGGACTGGAATGGAATGGACTTGAATGGAAGGGAATGGAATGGAATGCAATTGAATGGAATTGAGTGGAATAGAATTGAATTGTATGGAATCGAATGGAAGGGAATCGAATGGCATCAAATGGAATCAAATGGAATGCGGTGAAGTGGAGTGGAGTGGATTGAAACGCAGTGGAATGGAATGAGGTAGAATGGAATTGAGTGGAGTGGAGTGCATTGGAATGGGTTGGAATGGAATGGAATTGGAAGGAGTGGAATTGAACGGATTGGAGTGGAATGAAAAGGAGTGGAAAGCAATGCAATGGAATGGAGTAGAGTGGAGTTGTGTGGAGTGGAGTAGTATGCAATGGAATAGAATGGAATGGAATGGATTTGAAAGGAATGGAATGGAATGGATTCGAATGTAATGGACTGGAATGAAATGGTCTGGAAAGGAATGGGCTCGAATGGAATGGACTCGATGGAATGCACTTGAAGGGAGTGGACTGGAATGGAATGGACTGGAATATAATGGACTTGGATGGAATGGATTTGAATGGAATGAACTCGAAAGGAATGAACTCGCATGTAATGGACTCGAATTGTATGGAATCAAATAGAAGGGACTCGCATGGAATGGATGAGAATGGAATGGAATAGAATGGAATGGAGTCGAATGCAACGGAATAGAATAGCATCAAAGAGAATACAGTGGAATGCGATGAAGTGGAGTGGAGTCGAGTGGAATGGAGTGGAATGGAATTGAATGCAGCAGAGCGGAGTGGTGTCAAATGAATTTGAATAGAATGGAATGGTAAGGAATAGAATTGAACCGAGTTGAGTTGAGTGGAGTGGAATGGAGTAATATGCAAAGAATGGAATCCAGTGGATTGGAATGGAATGGAATGGAGTGGAGTGGAATGGAATGGGGTGGAAATAGTGGAATTGAATGGAATGGAGTGGAGTGGAGAGATGTGGAGTGGAGTGCAGTGGAATGGATTGGAGTGGAGTGGAGTGGAATGCAATGAAGTGAAATGGAGTGGAGTGGAGTGGAATGGAATAGAATTTAGTGGAGTGGAGTGGAATGGAGTGAAATGAAATTGAATTGGATTGAATGGAATTGAACGGAGTGGAGTGGAATGCGGTGGAATGCAATGGAATGGAATAGAATGGATTGGAGTGGAGTGGAATGGAATGGAATGGAATGAAATGGAATCGAATGTTATGGACAGGAATGTAATGGACTAAAAAGGAATGCACTCGAATGGAATGTCCTCGAATGGAATAGACTCTTATGAAATGGAATCATATGGAATTGAATTGAGTGAAATGGAATCAAATGGAATGGCATCGAATGGCATCAAATGGAATCAACTGGAAAGAGGCATCGCATGGAATGGCTTCCAATGGAATCAAATGGAAACAAGTGGAGTGGAGTGGAAAGTAGTGGCAAGGAATGGGGTGGAATGGAATTGAATGGATGGGAATGGAAACCAGGTAAGTGGAATGCAAAGGAACAGAATGGAATGGAGTGGAGTGGAGAAGAATATAGTGAAATGGAATTGAAAGGTATGGAATGAAATGGAGTGGAATTGAATTGAAGGAAATGGAATGGAATGGAATGGAATGCACTGTATTGGAGTGGAGTGGAATGGAGTGGAATGAAGTGGAAGGGAATGGAACGGAATGGAGAGGAATGGAATGGAGTGGAATGGATTGGAATTGATTGGAGTGGAGTGGAGTGGAGTGTAATGGAGTGGAATGCAATGGAATGGGAAAAAATGTAATTGAAAGTAGTGGAGTGGAATGGAGTGGAAAGAATGTAATGGAATGGAATGGAGTGGAATAGAGTGGAATGAAGTGGAGTGGAATGGAGTGGAGTGGAGTGGAATGGAATGGGAAGGAATGGAATTCAATGGAGTGGAGTGGAGTTGAGAGGAGTGGAGTGGAGTGGTATGCAATGGAATGGAATGGAATTGAGTGTTGTGGATTGGAGTGGAGTGGAGTTGAGTGGAATGGAATGGAATAGAGTGGAATGGAATGGAAAAGAGTAGAATGGAGGGGAGTGGAATGGAAAGGAGAGGAGTGGAATGGAAAGGAATGGAATGGAATCAAATAGAATTTACAGGACGGAAATGGAATAGCAAGGAATGGACTCGAATGGAATGGACTTGAATCGAATGGCCTCAAATGGAATGGAATTGAATGGAATGGAATTGAATCGAATGGAATGTAACGTAATGAAATCGAGTGAAGTGGAAATGAATGGAATGGAATCAAATGGCATCGAATCGAGTCAAATGGAATGCAATGAAGTGGAGAGGAGTGGAGCAGAATGGAGTGGAATGGAATGGATTGGAATGGAATTGAATGGAGTGGAGTGGTGGTCAGTGGAATGGAGTGGAATGGAATGTATTGGGAAAGAATGGAATTGACAAGAGTAGAGTGGAGTGCAGTGGAGTGGAGTAGAGTGGAGTGCAGTTTAATGGAGTGGAATGGAATGGAATGGAACAGACAGGAATGGAATGAAAAGGAGTGGAGTAAAATTGAGTGGAAATGAATAGAATGGACTGGAAATTAATGGCATGGAATGGAATGGAATGGACTCAAATTGAGTGGACTCGAATGGAATGGACTGGAATGGAATGGACACGAATGGAATGGAATGTAAGGGAATGGAATCAAATGGTATGGAATCAAATATAGTGGAATTGAACGGAATGGAATCAAATGCACTGGAATCGAATGGTATGGAATCAAATGGCATTGAATGGAATCGCATAAAATGCTGTGAAGTGGAGTGGAGTGGAGTGGAATAGAGTGAAATGGAGTGGAATGGGTAGGAATGGAATTGAACACAGTGAAGTGGAGTGGATTGGAGTGGAATGGAATGCAAAGGAATGAAATGGAATAGAATGGAATGGAATGGAATGGAGTGGAGGGGAGTGGATTGCAGTGGAGTGGATTGGAGTGTAATGGAGTGGAATGGAATGGAAAGGAATGGAATGGCATGGAGTGGAATGGAATGGAATGGGAGAGAATAGAGTAGAAAGGAGTGGAATGGATAGGAGCAGAGTAAAATGGAATGGAAAGGAATGGAATGGAATGGAATGGAGTGGTGAGGAGTGGAGTCGAGTGTACTGCAGTGGAGTGGAGTGGAAAGGAATGGAATGAAATGGATTGCAATGGAATGGAATTGATTGTAGTGGAGTGGAATGCAATAGAGTGGAATGTAGTGGAATGGAATGGAACAAAGTCAAGTGGAATGGAGTGGAGTGGAATGGAATGGAATGGAATGGAATGGAATGGAATGGAATGGACTCGAATAGAATTGAATGGACTCAAATGGAATGGACTGGAATGCATTGGAATCAAATGGAATAGACTCGAAAGGAATGGACTCAAATGGAATAGAATCGAATGGAATGAAATCGAATGGAATGGAATTGAATGGAATGGAATCGAAAGGAATGGAATCAAATGGCATCGAATGGAATCGAATGGACTGCAGTGAAGTGAAGTGGAGTGGAATGGAGTGCAATGGAGTGGAATGGAGTGGAATTGAATGTGGTGAAAGGGAATTGAATGGAGTGGAGTGCAGTGGAGTTGAATGGAGTGGAATGGAATTTAATGGGAAGGAATGAATTTGAATGGAATGGAGTGGAGTGGATTGGACTGGATTGCAATTGAATGGAGTGGAATGGAGTTGAGTGGAGTGGAGTGGAATGGAATGGAATGGAATGGAAACGACTGGAATGCAATGGAGAAGAATGGAATGGACTCCAATGGAATGGATTCGAATGAAATGGAATGGAATGGAATTGAATGGACTCAAATGGAATGGAATGGAATGGAATGGACTGGAATGGAATGGATTCGAATGGAATGGACTCCAATGGAAAGGATTGGAATGGAATGGACTCCAATGGAATAGAGTTGAAAGGAATGAACTTGAATGGAATGGAAACGAGTGGAATGGAATCAAAAGGAATGGATTCAAGAGCAAAGAAATCGAATACATGGTATCGAATGGAAAGGATTAGAAAGCAATGAAATCGAATGCAATGGTGTCGAATGGAATGGAATCGAATGGCATGGAATGGATTGAGGTGAAGGGGAGTGGAGTGGAGTGCAATGGAGTGGAATGGAATGCGGTGGAATGGAATTGAATGGAGTGGAGTGGAGTGGAATGGAGTGGAATGGAATAGAGTGTAGTGAAATGCAATGGAATGGAATGGAGTGGATTGGACAGGAGTTGATTGGAGTGGAATGTAATGGAATGGAAAGGAGTGGAGTGGACTGGAGTGCAGTGGAATGGAGGGGAATGCAATATAATGGAAAGGAATGGAATAGACTCGAATGGAATGGACTCGAGTGGAATGGACTGGAATGGAATGGACTCGAACAGAATGGACTGGAATGTAATGGACTCTAATGGAATGGACTCGAATGGACCGGAATCAAATGGAATGGAATCGACTGGAATGGAACGGAATCCAGTGGAATGGAATGGAATGGCATCAAATGGAATCGAATAGAATGTGGTGAAGTGGAGTGGAGTGCAGTGGAATGGAGTGGATTTGAATAGGGAGGAATGGAAGTGAATGGAGTGGAGTGGAGTGGATTGGAGTGGAATGTAATAAAAAGGAACGGAAAGGGAAGGTTGTAATTGAACAGTGTGGAGTGGAGTGGAATGTAGTGGAGTGGAATGCAATGGAATGGAATGGAAGATAGTACAGTCGAATGGAGTGGAGTGGAGTGGAGAGGAGTGGATTAGAATGGAGTGGAATGGAAAGTAAGGGAATGAAGTGGAATGGAATGGAATGGCATGGCATGGAGTGGAATGGAATGGAATGGAATGCAGGCGAGTGCAGTGGAATGGAATGGAATGGAATGAAATGGAGAGGCGTGAAGTGGAGTGGAGTGAATTGGAGTGGAGAAGAATGGAATGGAATGGAATGGAATGGAGTGGAGTGGAGTGGAATGGAAGGGAATGGAATGGATAGGAATGGAATGGAGTTGAGGGTATAATAATGGAAGAAAACGGAATGGAATGGAATGGAGTGGAATGGAGTGGCATGGAATGCAATGGAATGGAATGGAGTGGAATCGAATCTAATGGAGTCGAATGAAATGGACTGAAATGGAAATGACAGGAATAGAATGCAGTGAAAAGGTATGGAATCGAATCGAATGGACTGGAATGGAATGGACTCAAATGGAATGGAATCAAATGGAATGGAATCGAATGGAATGGAATTGAGTGGAATGGAATCGAATGGATTCGCCTTGAATCAAATGGAATGCAGTGAAGTGGAGTGGAAAGGAATAGATTGGAAATGAATGGGGGGAATGGAATTGAACGGAGTGGAGTGGAGTGGACTGGAATAGAGTGGAATTAATTGGAATGGGAAGGGAGGGAATTGAATGGAGTGGAGTGTAAAACGATAGAGTGGAGTGGAGTGCAGTGAAATGGAGTGGAGTAGAGTGGAATGCAATAGAGTGTTATGGAATGCAGAGGAGTGGACTGGATTGGAATGGAGTGGAGTGGAGTTGAATGGAATGGGGTTGAACGTTGTGGAGTGCAGTGGAATGGGGTGGAGTGCAATGGAAAGGAATGGAGTGGAGTGAAGTGCAGGGGAGTGGAATAGAATGGAATGGAATAGGATGGAGTGGAGTGTTGTGGAGCATATTGGAGTCAAGTGGAGTGGAATGGGAAGGAATGGAATTGAATGGAGGGGAAAAGAACGGAATCAAATGGAAAGGACTGGAATGGAATGTACTCGAGTGGAATGGAGTCAAATGAAATGGAATTGGATGGAATTGAAAAGAATGAAATGGAATTCAATGGAATGTAATCGAATGAAAGGGAGTCGAATGGCATCGAATGAAATTGAATATAATGCGCTGAAGTGGAGTGGAGTGGACTGGAATAGAATGTGGTGGAAGGGATTTGAATGGGGTGGAGTGGAGTGGAGTGGAATGAGGTGGAGTGGAGTGGAGTGGAATGGAGTGGAGTGGAGTGGAATGGAATGGGAAGGAATGGAATTAAATGCATGCAATTCAGTGGAATGGAGTGGAACGCAATGGAATGGAATGGAATGGAGTGCAGTTGAGTGGAGTTGAGTGGAATGGAATGGAACAGAATGGAATGGAATGGAAAGGAATGGACACGAATGCAATGGACTGGAATGGAATGGTATTGAATGGAATGGATTCAAATGGAATGGAATGGAATCCAATGGAATGGACTCGAATGGAATGGACTGGAACGGAATGGACTTGGATGGAATAAAATCTAATGGAATGGAATCGAATGGATTGGAATCAGATCGAATTGAATCAAATGGAATGGAATCGAATGGAGTGGAACCGAATGGAAAGGAATAGAATGGCATCAAAAGGAAACGAAAGGAATGTGGTGAAGTTGAGTGGAGTGGAGTTTAGTGAAATGGAGTGCAGTGGAGTGGAACGGAGTGAAATGGACTGGAATGGAATGGAATGGACTGGAAAGGAATCAACTTGAATGGAATGGACTCGAATTGAATGGAATTGCATGGAATGGAATCGAAAAGAATGGAAAAGAATGGAATGGAATCGAATGGAATGAAATCAAATGGAATGGAGTCGAATGGAAAGGATTTGAATGGCATCGAATGGAATTGAATGGAATGCGGTGAAGTGGAGTGGAGTGGAGTGGAATGGAGTGAAATGAAATGGGGTGGAATGGAATTGAATGGAGTGGTGTGGTGTGGAATGCAGTGGAATGGAATGTAAAGGCAACGAATGGAATTAAAAGGAGAGGAGTGGAGTGGAGTGTATTGGAGTGGAGTGGAATGGAAGGGACTCAAGTGGAGTGGAGTTGAGTGGAATGGAGTGGAGTGGAATGGAATGGACTCAAGTGGAATGGAGTGGAGTGGAATGGAGTGGAATAGAATAGAATGGATTGAAGAGGAATAGAGTGGAGTGAAGTGGAGTGGGATGGAGTGCGGTGTAATGATATGGAATGGAATGGAATCGAATCGAATGGAATGGACTCGAAAGGAATGGAATCCAATGGAATGGACTTGAATACAATGGAATCGAATGGAATGGAATCGAATGAAATGCAATTGAATAGAGTGGAATTGAATGTCATCGAATTGAGGGGAATGGAATGCGGTGAAGTGGAGTGGAGTGGAGTGAAATGGAGTGGAAAGGAATGGGGTGAAATGGAATGGAATGCAGTGGAGTGGAGTTTAATGGAGTGGAATGGAAATGAATGGGAAGGAATAGAATTGAATGGAGTGGAGTGCCTTGGAATGCAATGGATTGGTGTGAAGAGGAGTGGAGTGGAAAAGAGTGGAATGCAATGGAATGTAACATAATGGAATGGAGTGGATTGGAATGGAGTAGAAAGGACTTCAGTGGAGAGGAGCGGAGGGGAGTGGAATAGAATGGAAAGGAAAGGAATAGAATGTAATGGTGTGGAGTAGAGTGGAATGAAATGGAATGGAAAGGATTGGAATGGAATAGAATGGAATGGAATGGAATGGACTCGAATGGAATGCAATGGAAAGGAACGGACTGGAATGGAATGGACAGGAATGGATTGGAGTCGAGGGGAAAGGAATCGAATGGAATGGAATTGAATGGAATGGGATAAATAGAATGGGATCAAATGAAATGGAATGAAATGGAGTGGAATGGAATGGCATAGAATGGAATCCAAAGGAATGCAGAGAAGTGCAGTGGAGTTGAGAGGAATGCAATGGAATGGAATGGAATGGAGTAGACTGGAGTGGAGTGGATTGTAGTGGAATTGAGTGGAGTGGAATGGAACGGAGTGGAGTGGAGTAGAATATAGTGTAGTGGAGTGGAGTGGAATGTAGTGGAATGGAATGGTGTGAAATGGAATGGACTGGAGTGGAATGGAATGGAAGGGAATGGAATGGAATGGAGTTGAGTGGTGTGGGATGGAATGCAATGGAATGGAATGGAGTGGAGTGGAGTGGAATGGAGTGGAGTGGAGTGGGGAGGAGAGGAATGGAGTGTAATGGAATGCAATGGAATGGAATGGAGTGGAGTGGAGTGAAATGGAGTGGAGTTGAGTGGGTTAAAAAGGAATGGAGTGGAATGGAATGCAGTGGAATGGAATATGGTGGAGAGGAATGGAATGGAATTTAGTGCAGTGGAGTGCAGTAAATTGGAGTGGTGTGGAATGGAATGCAGTGGAAGTGAATGGAATGGAATGGAATCGAATGGAGTGTAGTGGAATGGAATGGAATGGAATGGACTCGAATGGAATGGGCTGGAATGAAATGGACTGGAATGGAATGGACTCGAAAGGAAAGGAATCTAATGGTATGGAATCGAATGGAATGGAATAGAGAGGAATGGAATCGAAAGGAATGGAATCAAAGAGAGCAGAATCGAATGGCATCAAATGGATTCAAAAGGCATGTGGTGAAATGAGGAGGTGTGGAGTGGAATGGAGTAGAAAGGATTGTGGTGGAATGGAATTGAATGGAGTGAAGAGGAATTGAGTGGAATGGAATGGGAAGGAATGGAATTCAACGGAGTGGAGTGGAGTGGAGTGGAATGAAAGGAAATGGAATGGATTGGAGTTGAGTGGAATGGATTGGAGTGCAGTGGAGTGGAGTGGAATGCAATAGACTGGAATGGAATGGAATGGAGTGGAATGGAATGGAATGAAAAGGAAAAGAATGGAATGGAAAGGATTGGAGTGAAGTAGAGTGGAGGTGAATGGAGTGGAGTGGAGTGGAACAGAATAGAATGGAATGAAATGGAATTGAATGGACTCGAATGGAACGGAATCGAATTTAATGGAACTGAATGCAATGGAATCTAATGGAATGGAATGGAATGGAATGGAATGGAATGGAATGGAATGGAATGGAGTGGAATCGAATGGAATGGAATCGAATGGCAATGAATGGAATTGAACGGAATGCAGTCCACTGGAGTGCACAGGAGTGGAATGGAGTGGAATGGAATGGGGTGGAATGGAATTGAAGGGAGTGGAGAGGAGCAGGGTGAAATGGAGTGGAATGGAGTGGAATGGGAAGGAATGGAATGGGACAGAAAGGAATTGAACTTAGTGGAGAGGACTAGAAGGGAATGGGTTGGAATGGAATCAAACGAAATGAAATGCAATTGCATGGAGTGAAATGGAGTGCTAGGGAATGGAGAGGAATGGAATGGAATTGAATGGAGTGGAATGGAACGGAATGGAATGGATTGGAATGGAATGGAACGGAGTGGAGTGGAGTGGAATGGAATGGAATGGAATGGAGTGGAATGGAGAGGAAAGGAATGGAATGGAGTGGAGTGGTTTGGATTGGATTGCAGTGGAATGGAATGGCATGGAGTGGAATGGAATGGAGTGGAATGGAGTGGATTGTAGTGGAGTGGAGTGGAGTGGAGTGGAATGGAATTTAGTGGTATTAAAAGAAACAGGATGGAATGGAATGGTATTAAATGGGGTGGAGTCCAGATGATTAGAGTGCAGTGCAGTAGAATGGAATGGAATGGAATGGAAAGGAATGGAATGGAATAGAATGAAATAGACTCGAATGGAATGGACTCGAACGAAACGGAATAGAAATTACTGGAATTGAACGCAATGGAATTGAATGGAATGGAATCTAATGGAATGGAATAGAATAGAGTGGAATCGAATGGAATGGAATCGAATGTCATCCAATGGAATCGAATGGAATGGAATAGAATAGAGTGGAATCGAATGGAATGGAATCGAACGGCATCAAATGGAATCGAATGGAATGTGGTCCACTGGAGTGCAGTGGAGTGGAATGGAGTGGAATGGAACGGGGTGGAATGGAGTTGAATGGCATGGGGAGGAGCGGAGTGGAAATGAATGTAATGGAATGGAATGGGAATGAATGGAATTGGACAGAAATTAATTGAAAGGAATGTCGTGGAGTGGAACGGCATGGAGTGCAATGGAATTGAGAGGAATGGAGTGGATTGTAGTGGAGTGGAGTGGAGTGGAATGGAATGGAGTGGTATTTAATGAAACGGGATGGAATGGAATGGAATGGAATGGTATTGAATGGGGTGGAGTCCAGAGGATTGGAGTGGAGTGCAGTAGAATGGAATGGAATGGAATGGAATGGAAAGGAATGGAATGGAATGGAAGGAAATAGAATCGAATGGAATTGACTCGAATGCAACAGAATAAAATTTAATGGAATTTAACGCAATGGAATAGAATGGAATGGAGTTGAATGGAATGAAATAGAATAGAGTGGAATTGAATGGAATGGAATCGAACAGCATCAAGTGGAATCGAATGGAATGTGGTCCACTGGAGGGCAGTGGAGTGGCATGGAGTTGAATGGAATGGGGTGGAATGGAGTTGAATGGAGTGGAGAGGAGAGGAGTGGAATGGAATGAAATGGAATGGAATATGAAGGAATGGAATGGGACAGAAATTAATTGAAAGGAATGGAGTGGAGTGGAAGGGAATGGAATGGAATGGAATCAAATGAAATGGAATGCAGTTGAATGGAGTGGGATGCAGTTGAATGGAATGGAGTGGAATGGAGTGGAATAGAATGGAGTGGAATTGAATGGAATGGAATGCAGTGGAGTGGAGTGGAGTGGAATGGAGTGGTGTGGAATGAAGTGAAATGGAGTGGAGTGGAATGGAATTGAGTGTAGGGCAACGGAATGGAATGGAGTGGAATGGAATGGAACTGAAAGGAATGAAATGGAATGGACTCAAACGGAATGGACTCTAATGGAATGGACTCGAATGGAATGGACTCGAATGGAATGGACTGGAATGGAAGGGACATGAATAGAGTGGAATCGAATGGAATGGAATCAAATGGCATCGACAGGAATCAAATGAAATACAGTGCAGTTGAATGGAGTGCAGTGGAATGGAATGGGATGGAATGTGGTGGAATGGAATGGAATGGAACGGAATGGAGTGGAATGGAGTGGAATGGAGTGAAGTGGAGTGGAATGGAATGGAATGGAATGGAGTGGAATGGAGTGGAATGGAATGGAACGGAATGGAACGGAATGGAATGGAATGGAACGGAGTGGAACGGAATGGAACAGAATGGAATGGAGTGGAATGGAATGGAATGGAATGGAATGGAGTGGCATGCAATGGAGTGGAATGGAGTGGAATGCAGTGGAGAGGAGTGGAATTTAATGGAGTGAAGTGGAATGGAATGGAGTGAAGTGGAATGGAATTGAATGGAATGGAATGAAATGGAATGGAAAGGAATCGAAAGGAATGTAATTGAATGGCATCTAATGGAATCGAACGGAATGCGGTGAAGCAGAATGGAGTGGAGTGGAATGGAGTGGAATGGAATGGGGTGGAACTGAAATTAATGGAGTCGAGTGGAATGGAGTGGATTGGAATGGGAAGGAATGTGATGGAACAGAGTGGAGTTTAGTGAAAAGGAATGCAATGGAATGGAATGGAATGGAATGGAAGGGAAGGGAATGGAATGGAATGGAGTGGAAAACATGGAATGGAATTCACAGGACTGGACTGGAATGGAACGGAATGGAATGGAATGGAATGGAATGGAATGGAATGCAATCAAATGGACACGAATGGAATGGACTTGAATGGAATGGACTCGAATGGAATGAACTGGAATGGAATGGACTAGAATGGAATGAACTGGAATGGAATGGACTGGAATGGAATGGACTCGATTGTAAGGGAATCAAATGGAATAGAATCGAATGGCAGTGAATGGAATTGAATGGAATGCGGTGAAGTGGAGTGGATTGCAGTTGAATGGAGTGCAAACAATGGTTTGGAAAGGAATAGAATGGAGTGGAGCGGATTTGATTGGAATGGAATTGAATGGGAAGTAATGGAATTTAATGGAGTGGAGTGCAGTGGAGTGGAGTGGAGTGGAGTAGGGTGAAATGGAATGAAATGGAATGGAATGGCATGGAATGGACTGGAATGGAATGTAATCAAATGGAAAGGAATCGGATGGAAATAAATGTTATAGAATGGAGTGGAATCAACTGGAATGGAATTGAAAGGAATGGAATGGAATGGAGTGGATACGATTGAAAAGGAATCGAATGTCATCGGATGGAATCAAAAGGAATGCGGTGAATTGGAGGGGAGTGGAGTGGAAAGGAGTGCAATGGAATGGTGCGGAATGGAATGGAAAGGAGTAGAGTGGAGTGGAAAGGAGTGGAATGGCATGGAATGAAAAGGAATGGAATTTAATGGAGTGGAGTGCAATGGAGTGCCTTGAAATGGAATGCAATGGAGTGGAGTGGAGAAAAGTGGATTGGATTGGAATGGAATGAAACGGAATGGAATGGAATGCAACGTACTGGAATGGAAAGTAATCGAATGGAAAAGAATGGAATGGAATGGAATGGAATGGAATCAAACGGAGTGGAATCATGTGGAATGGAATCGAATGGAATGGAATCGAATGGAATTTAATCAAATGGCATCGAATGGAATCAAATGGAGTGCAGTGAAGTGGAGTGGAGTGGAATGGAGTGGAATGGAATGGGTTGGAATGGAATGGAGTGGAGAGGAGTAGATTGGAGAGCAATGGAATGCAATGGAATGGAATGGAGTGGAGAGGATTGGAGTGGAGTGGAATGCAATGGAATGGAAAGTAATTGAGTGGAGAGGAATGGAGTGGAATGTAGTTTAGTGGTGTGGATTCGAATGGAGTGGAATATAGTGGATTTGAGTGGAGTGGAAGGGAATTCACACAAGTGGAGTGGAGTTGAGTGGACTGGAGGGGAGTGAAGTAGAATGGAGTGGAAAGGAATGGAGTGGAATTTAAAGGAATGGAATGGAGTAGAGTGGAGTTGCGTGAAGTTTAATGGAGTGGATTGCAGTGGAGTGGAGTGGAATGGATTTGAAAGGAGTGGTGTGCAGTGAAGTGGAGTGAATTGGATTGGAATGAAAAGGAATGCAGTGAAATGAAATGGAATGGTGTGGAATGGAATGGAAAGGAATGGAAAGGAATTGACTTGAAGGGAATGGACTCAAATGGAATGGACTCTAATGGAATGGACTGGAATGGAATGGACTCGAATGGAATGGAATCAAATGGAATGGAATCAAATGGAATGGAATCAAATGGAATGGAATCAAATGGCATCGACTGGAATCAAATGGAATACGGTGCAGTGGAGTGGAGTGGAAAGGAGTGGTATGGAATGGAATGGAATGGAATGGAGTGGAATGGAATTGAGTGGAGTGGAGTGGAATGGATTGGAGTGGATTCGAGTGGAGTGGGATGAAATGCACTTAAGTGGAGTGGAGTAGAGTAAAGTGAAATTCAGTGGAATGGAATGGAATGGATTTTCATGGATTGGAGTGTACTGGAGTGGATTGGAGTGGAGTGTAATGTAGCGGAATTGAGTGGAGTGGACTGGAGTGAAACGGAGTGGAATGGAGTTCAATGGAGTGCAGTGGAGTTGAGTGCAATGGAATGGAATGGAATGGAATGGAATGGAGTGGAATGGAAAGGAATATAGTGGAATGCAATGGAATGGAACTGAAAGGAATGGAATGGAGTGGAATCGAATGGCATGGAACAAAATGGCACGGAACACAATGGCACGGAATCGATTGGCATCGAATGGAATTGATAGGATTGCGGTGAAGTGGAGTGGATGGAGTGGAATGGAGTGGAATGGAATGGAGTGGAATGGAATTGTAATGGAGTGGTGTGGAGTAGAGAGGAATGGAATGGAATGGAAAGAAGTTGAGTGCAGTGAAGTGGAATGGAAGGCTGCGGAATTGAATGGAAAGGAATGCTACAAATTGGAATGGAGTGGAATGCAGTGGAATGGAGTGAAGTGGTGTGGAGTGGAGTGGAGTGGAGTTTAATGGAGTGAAACGGAAACGAATGGAATAGAATTGAGTGCAATGGCATGGAGTGGAGTGGAGTGCAGTGGTTTGAAATGGAATGGAATGGATTGGAACAGACTGCAATGGAATGGACTGGAATGGAATGGAGTCGATTGGCATGGACGCGGATAGAATGGATTCAAAAGGAATGGAATCGAATGGAATGGAATCGGATGAAATGGAATCAAATGGAATGCAATCAAATGGAATGCAATCGAATGGAATGGAATCCAATGGCATTGAATGGAATTGAATGGAATGCTGTGAAGTGGGGTGAAGTTGAGTGGAATGGAGTGAAATGTAATGGAATTGGAAGGAATGGAATAGAATGGAGTGGATTGTACAAGATTGGAGTGGCAGGTAGTGGAATGGAAAGGGGTGGAATGGAATTGAATGGAGTGGATTGGAGTGGGGTGAAATAGAGTGGAATGGAATGGAATGGGAAGGAATGGAATTGAATGGAGTGCAGTGGAGTGGGCTGGAGTGTAATGCAATGGAATGAAATGGAATAGACTGGAGTGTAATGGAGTGGATTGGCGTGGAGTGGATTGGAATGGAATGGAATGGAGTAGATTTGAGTGGAATGAAGTGGAATTGAGTGGAGTGGAGGGGAATGGAGTGGAGTGGAATGGAATGGGAAGGAATGAAATTGAATGGAGTGGAGAGGAGTGGAGTGGAATGTAATGGAAAAGAATCCAGTGGATTGGAATGGAATGGAATGGAATGTACTCAAATGGAATGGACTCCAATGGAATGGACTCGAATGGAATGGAATCGAATTGAATGTAATCAAAAGGAATGGAATAAAATGGCTTCGAATGGAATCAAATGGAATGTGGTGAAGTGGAGTGGAGTGCAGAGGAATATAGTGGAAAGGAATGCGGTGGAATGAATTTGAATGGACTGGAGTGGAGTGGAATGCAGTGGAATGGAATGCAATGGGAAGGAATGAAATAGTAGGGAGTAGAGTTCAGTGGAGTTGACTGGAGTGGAATGCAATGGAATGGAATGGAATGGACTCAAATGGAAAGTTCTCAAACGGAATGGTACCGAATGGAAGGGAATCGAATGGAACGGAATGGAATGGAGTAGAATCGAATGGAATGGTAGCCAACGGAACGGAATCCAATGGAACGGAAACGAATGGCATCGAATGGAATCGAGTGGAATGCGGTTAAGGAAGTGGAGTGGACTGGAGTGGAATGGAATGGAATGGATTGGAATTGAATGGACTCGAATGGAATGGACCCGAATGGAATCAAATGGAACGGAATCGAGTGGAATGGAATCCAATTGAATGGAATCCAATGGAATGGAATCGAATGGCATTGAATGGAATGGAACACAATCGCATGGAATGGAATCCAATGGAAAGGAATCGAATGGCATTGAATGGAATGGAACACAATCGCATGGAATGGAATCCAATGGAATGGAATCGAATGGAATGGAATCAAATGGCATCGAATGGATTCAAATGGAATGCGGTGAAGTGGAGTGGATTGGTTTGGAATGCATTGGAATGGAATGGGGTGGAATGGAATTGAATGCAGTGGAGTGAGTTCAGTAGAATGTAGTGAAATTGAATGGAATGGGAAGGAATGGAATTGAACAGAGTGCACTGGAGTGGAGTGGAGAGGAATGCAATGGAATAGGGTGGAGTGGAGTGGAGTGGAGTGGAGAGGAGAGAAATGGTGTTGAGTGGAATGGAATGGACTCAAGTGGAGTGGAGTGCAGTTGAGTGGATACGAGATGAGCAGAATGGAGAGGAATGGAAAGGAATGTAACGGATTGGAGTGGAGTGGAGTGGGGTGGAATTGAATTGAGTGGAGTGGAGTGGAAAGGAGTGGAATGGAGTGGAATGGAAAGGAGAGGAGGGGAGTGGTATGGAGTGGAGTGGAATGAAATGGAATGGAGTGGAATGGAATGCAATGTAAAGGAATGGAGTGCAATGGAATGGACTAGAATGGAATGGACTCAAATGGAATGGAGTGGAATGGAGTGGGCGCGAATGCAATGATCTCCAATGGAATGCACTGGAACAGAATGGACTCGAATAAATTGGAATGGAATGGAATTGAATCAAAAGGAATGGAATCGAATGCCATGGAATTGAATGGAATGGAATTGAATGGAATGAAATCAAATAGCATCGAATGGAATTGAATGGAATGTGATGATGTGGAGTGGAGTGCAGTGGATTGGAGTGGAATGGAATGGGGTGCAACAGAAATGAATGGAGTGGTGGGTAGTGGAATGGAACAGAGTGGAATGAAAGAGAATGGCAAGGAATAGAATCGAACACAGTGGAGTGGAGTGGAGAGGAGGGGACTGGTGTGGAATGCAATGGAACGGAGTGGAGTGGAGTGGAGTGGATTTGAGTGGAAAGGAGTGGAGTGGACTGAAATGGAATGGAATGAACAGGAACGAAATGGACTCAAAAGGAATTGATTCAAATGGAATGGAATCGCGTGGAATGGAATGGAATGGAATGGAGTGGAATAAATGGAGTGGGATCGAATGGACAGGACTGGAATGGAATGGACACCAATGGATTGGAATGGAATGGACCCAAAAGTAATAGAATGGAATGGAATGGACTCAAATGGAATCGAAAGGAATTGAACAGAATGGACTCGAATGGAATGGAATGGAATGGACTTGAATGGATTGGAATGCAATGTACTCAAAAGGAATAGAAAAGACTCGAATGGAATGGAATGGAATGGACTGGAACTGAACGGAATGGACTGTAATGGAATGGAATGGAATTGATTGGATTTGAATAGAATAGAATGGAATGGAATGGACTCCAATGGAGTGGAATTGAATGGACTAAAATGGAATGGAATGAACTCGAATGGAAAGGAACGCAATTTAATGGAATGGATTCTAATGGATTGGAGTCCAGTGGAATGGAATGGAATGGAATCTAATGGAATAGAATGGAATGTACTCGAATGGAAAGGAATGCTATGGAATGGACTCGAATGGAATGGAATGGAATGGGCTCGAATGGAATGGAATGGAATTGAATGGTCTCGAAAGGGATGGAATGGAATGCAAAGGAATGGAATCGAATGGAATGGAATGGATTTGACTCGAATGGAATTGAATGGTATGGACCTGAAAGGAAAGGAATGGAATGGAATGTACTCGAGTAGTATGGAATGGAAACGTATAGACTCGAATGGAATGGTATTGAAAGGAATGGACTCGAATGGAATGGAATGGAACGGAATGGATTCGAATGGAACGGTTTGGAATGGAATAGACACGAATGAAATGGAATGGAATGGACTCAAATGGAACAGAATGGAATGGAATGGAGTGGACTCCAATGGAATGGATTGGATTCGAGTGGAACGCAATTGAATGGAATGAACTCAAATGGAATATAATGGAATCGAATGGACTCGAATGGAATGGAAAAGAATGGACTCGAATTGAATAGAATGCAATGGACTCGAATGGAATGGAGAAGAATGGAATGGACTCGTATGGAATGGAGTGGCATGGACTCGAATGGAATGGAATTTAATTGAATGGACTCGAAAGGAATGGAATGAAATCTACCCGAATGAAATGTAATAGAATCAAAAGCACTCGAAAGGAATGTAATGGAAAGGAATGGACTCAATGGATAGGAATGGAGTGGAATGGAATGGAATGGAATGCACTCGAACGGAATGGAATGGAATGGAATTGACTCGAATGGAATATAAAGGAATGGACTCGAATAGAATGGAATGGAATGGACTCGAATGTAATGGAGTGGAAAGGACTCGAATGGAATGGAAAGGAATTTAGTGGACTCGAATCGAATGGAATATAATGTTATGGAATGGACTCGTATGGAATGGAATGGAATGGGCTCGAATGGAATGGAATGGAATGGAATGGTCTCGAAAGGGATGGAATGGAATGGACCCGAATGGAGTGGAATGGAATGGAATGCACTCAAATGGAATGAAAGGGAATGGAACCGAATGGAATGGAATGGAATAGAATGGAATTGAATGAAATGGAATGGAATTGAATGGAATGGAATGGAATGCTATGGATTGGAATGGACATGAATGGAATAGAGTGGGATGGAATGGAAGGAATTCAAAAGGAATGGAATGGAATGGAATCCAATGGAATGGAAAGGCCAGGAATCGAATGGAATGGAATGGAATGGACTCGAGTGGAATAAATTGGAATTTAATGGAATTGACTCCAATGGAATGCAATGGAATGGTCTTGAATGCAATAGAATGGAACGGAATGGATTCGAATGAAATGCAATGGAATGGACTTGAATGGAATGAAATGGACACGAATGGAATGGATTGGAATGCAATGAACTCAAATGCAATAAAATGGAATTTTAATGGAATGGACACTAATAGAATGGAATGGAATGGACTTGAATGGAATAGACTCGAATGGAATGGAATGAAATGGACTAGAATGGAATGGAATGGAATGGACTCGAAAGGAGTTGGATGGAATACAATGGAATGGAATCCAACAGAATGGAACGGAATGGACTCGAATGGAATGGAATGCAATGGAATGGACTCGAAGGAATGGAATGGATTTGACTCGAATGGAATTGAAGGGAATGGACCCGAATGGAATGGAGTTGAATTGAATGCAATGGAATGGATTGGGCTCAAATGGAATGGAATGGAATGGAATGGAAAATAATGGAATGGAATAGAATGGGCTTGATTGGAATGGGTTTGAATGGAATGGACTCGAATGGAATGGTATGGAGTGGACTCAAATGGAATAGCACGGAATGGAATGGACTTGAATAAAATGGAATGGAATGGAATCGAATGGAATGGAATTGGCTTGAACGGAATGGAGTAGAATGGACTCATATGAAATGGAATGGCATTGAATGGACTTGAATGGAATTTAATGTAATGGAGTGGAATGAACTCCAATGGAATGGAAAGTAATTGAATGAAATGTACTCGAATGGAATGGAATGGAATGGACTCGAAAGGTATGGAGTGGAACGGAATGGAATGGGATGGATTGGAATGGAATGGAATGCAATGGAATGCAATGGAATGGACAGAAATGGAATGCAGTTGAATTGAGCTGACCCGAAAGGAATGGACTGGAATGGAATGGAATGCAATGAAATGCAGTGGTCTCAAATGGAATAGAACAGAACGGACTCTAATGGAATGGAATGGAATGGAGTCGAATGGAATGGAATGGAATGGATTCTTATGGAATGGAATGGAATTGAATGGACTCGAATGGAAAGGAATGTAATGGAATGAAGTGGACCTGAATGGAATGGAATGGAATGGAATGGAATGAAATGGACTCGAATAGAATGGAATGTAAAGGAATGAATTCGAACGGATTTGAAGGGAATTCAATTGAATTGAATGGATTCAAAAGGATTGGAATGGAATGTACTCGAATGGAATGGAATGGAATGGACTCTAATTGGAAGGAATCCCCTTGAAGGGAGTGGAATGGAATGGAATCAACTCGAGTGGAATGGAATATGGAATGGAGTAGAGTGGAATGGAATATGGAATGGAAAGGAATGGACTCGAGTGGAATGGACTGGAAAGGAATGGACTCGAATGGAATGGACCCGAAAGGAATGGAATGGAATGGACTGGACTCGAATGGAATGGAATGGAATGGAATGGAATGGAATGTACTTGAATGGAATGGAATGGATTGGACTCATATCAAATGAAATGCAATGGATTCAAATGGAGTGGAAAAGACTCGAATGGAATGGAATGCACTGGAACCTAATGGAATGGAATGGAGTGGACTGTAATAGAATAGAATGAACTGGAATGGAATGGAATGGATTTGAATGGAATGGAATGGACTCGAATGGAAAGGAATGCTGTCGAATGGAATGGAATGGAATGGAATCAACTGGAGTGCAATGGAATATGAAACGGAATGTAATGGACTCGAGTGGAATGGGCTGGAAAGGGATGGACTCGAATGGAATGGAATGGAATGGACTTGAAAGGAATGGAATGGAATTGAATGGAATGGAAAGGAATGGAATGGAATAGACTAAAATGGAATGGAAATGAATGCAATGGAATAGACTAAAATGGAATGGAATGGAATGGACTCAAATGGAATGGAATGGAAAGGAATGGAATGGAAGGCAATGGAAGTGAATGGAATGGAAAAGACTCGAATGGAATGGAACAGACAGGACCCGAATGAAATGGAATGGACTGTAATGGAATGGAATGGACTTGAATGGAACAGAATGGAATGGAATGGAATGGACTCAAATGGAATGGAATTGAATGTACTCGTATGGAATGGAATGGACTCAAATGGAATGGAATGGAGTTTAATGAAATGGATTCTAATGGAATGGAGTCCAATGGAATGGAATGGAAAGGAATGGAATCGAATGGAATAGAATGGAATGTACTCGACTGGACTGGAATGCAATGGAATGCACTCAAATGGAATGGAATGGAATGGTCTCGAATGGAATGGAATGGAATTGAATGGTCTCGAAAGGGATGGAATGGAATGCAATGGAGTGGAATCGAATGGAATGGAATGGATTTGACTCGAATAGAATTGAAGGGTGTGGACCCAAATGGAATGGAATGGAATGGAATGTACTCGAGTAGTACGGAATGAAAAGGTATGGACTCGAAAGGAATGGAATTGAATGGAATGGACTCAAATGGAATGGAATGGAAGGGAATGGAATGGAATGGATTCAAATGGAATGTATTGGTTTGGAATAGACACGAATGAAATGGAATGGAATGGACCCAAATGGAATAGAATGGAATGGATGGAATGGACTATAATGGAATGGATTGGACTCGAATGGAATGCAATTGAAAGGGATGGACTTGAAGGGAATATAATGAAATGGAATGGACTCGAATGGAATGGAAATGCGTGGACTCAAATGGAATAGCATGCAGTGGACACGAATGGAATGCAGTGGAATGGAATGGACTCGTATGGAATAGAGTGGCATGGACTGAATGGAATGGAATTTAATTGAATGGACTCAAAAGGAATGGAATGGAGGGACTTGAATGGAATGTAACAGAATGAAAAGGGCTCCAATGTAATATAATGGAAAGGAATGGACTCGATGGAGAAGAATAGAGTGGAATGGAATGCAATCGAATGGAATGAAATGGAATTGAATCGAATGGAATAGAAAGTAATGGACACGAATAGAAAGGAATGAAATGGAAGGGACTTGAATGCAATGCAGTGGAGTGGACTCGAAAGGAATGGAAAGGAATTTAATGTACTTGAATCGAATGGAATATAATGTTATGGAATGGACTCGTATGTAATGGAATGCCATGGACCTGAATGGAATAGAATGGAATGGAAAGGAATGGACTAGAATGGAATAGAATGAATGGACTCGAATAGAAAGGAATGAAATCGAATGGACTCGAATGCAATGGAGTGGAGTGGACTAGAATGGAATGGAAAGGAATTTAATGTACTCGAATCGAATGGTATGTAATGTTATGGAATGTACTCGTATGTAATGGAAAGAAATGGACCTGAATGGAATGGAATGGAATGGAAAGGCATGGACTCGAATGGAATAGAATGAAGTGGAGCCGAATGGCATGGAATGGAATGGAATGCACTCGAATGGAATAAAAGGGAATGGACACGAATGGAATGGTATGGAATGCAATGGAATGCAATGCAATGAAATGATATGGATTGGAATGGACAATAATAGAATAGAATGGGATGGAATGGAATCACTTCAAAAAGAATGGAATGGAATAGACTCCAACGGAATGGAAAGGCCAGGAATTGAATGGAATGGAATGGAACGGACTCGAATGTAACAGAATGGAACTTAAAGTAATGGACTCCAATGGACTGCAATGGAATGATCTCGAATGGAATAGAATGGAATGGAATGGACTCAAATTGAATGGAATGGAATGGACTCTAATGGTATGAAATGCACACGAATGGAATGAAATGGAATGGAATTAACTGGAATGGAATACAATGGAATTTTAATGGAAAGGAAACTAATGGAATGGAATGGAATGGAATTGAATGGAATAGACTCGAATGGAATGGAATGTAATGGAACAGACTTGAATGGAATAGAATGGAATGGACTCGAATTGAATGGAATGGAATTGAATGGACTCGAAAGGATTCGGCTGTAATACAATGGAATGCAATCCAATGGAATGGAATGGAATGGAATGGAACGGACTCAAATGGAATAGAATGGAATGGACTCGAATTGAATGGAATGGAATTGAATGGACTCGAAAGGATTCGGATGTAATACAATGGAATGCAATCCAGTGGAATGGAATGGAATGGACTCGAATGGAAAGGATTGCAATGGAATGGACTCGAAGGAATGGAATGGAATTGATTCGAATGGGTTTGAAGGGAATGGACCCGAATGGAATGGAATGGACTGGAATTCAATGCAATGGAATGGATTGGGCTCAAATGGAATGGAATGGAAAAGAATGGAATGGAATAGAATGGACTGGAGTGGAATGGGTTTGTATGGAATGGAATGGAACAGAATGGACTCAAACAGAATACCATGGAATGGAATGGACTCAAATACAATGGAATGGAATGGACTCGAAAGGAATGGAATGGACTCGAACGGAATGGAGTGGAATGGACTCATATGGAATGTAATGGCCCTCAATGGACTTGAATGGAATTAAATGTTATGGAATGGAATGAACTCGAATGGAATGTAACGTAAAGGAATGAAATGTGCTCCAATGGAAAGGAATGGACTCTAAAGGAATGGAGTGGAATTGAAAGGGTTGGAATAGAATGGAATGGAATGGAATGGAATGGAATGGAATGGAATGGAATGGAATGCAGTGGAATGGACACGAATGGAATGCAGTTGAATTGAATGGACCCAAAAGTAATGGAATGGAATGTTATGGAATGCAGTGGTCTCGAATGGAATGGAATAGAATGAACTTGAATGGAATGGAACGGACTCGAATGCAATTGAGTGGAATGGACTGGACTCTAATGGAATGGCATGGAATGCACGTGAATGGAATGGAATGTTATGGAAAATAAAGGACTCGAATGGAACGGAAAGAATGGAATGGACCAAAATGGAGTGCAATGGAATGCAATGGACTCTAATGGAATGGAATGGAATGGACCCGAGTGGAATGGAATGGAATGGACTGAAATGGAATAGCATGGAATGGAATGGAGTCAAATGAAATGGAATGGAAGAGACTCAAGTAGAATGGCTTAGAATGGAATGGACTCGACTGGAATGAAATGGAATGGACCAGAAATGAATGGAATGGAATGGAATGCAATGAAATGGAATGGAATGGAATGGAATGGAATGGAATGGAATGGAATGCAATGGAATGGAATGGAATGGAATGGAATGCAATGGAATGGAATGGAATGCAATGGAATGGAATGGAATGGAATGCAATGGAATGGAATGGAATGGAATGGAATGCAATGGAATGGAATGGAATGCAATGGAATGGAATGGAATGGAATGCAACGGAATGGAATGGAATGGAATGGAATGGAATGGAATGGAATGGAATGCAATGGAATGGAATGGAATGGAATGGAATGGAATGGAATGGAATGCAATGGAATGGAATGGAATGGAATGGAATGGAATGGAATGCAATGGAATGGAATGGAATGGAATGGAATGGAATGGACTCCAGTGGAATGGACTGGAATGGAATGGAATGGAACGGAATGGACCCAAAAGGAATGGAATGGACTTGAATGGAATGGAAAGGAATGGAAAGGAATGGACTCGAATGGAATGGAATGGACTCAAATGGATTGGAATGCAATGGACTCGAAAGGAATAGAAAAGACTCGAATGGAATGGAATGGACTGGACCCGAATGGAATGGAATGGACTGGAATGGAATGGAATGGAATGGAATGGAATGGAAATGACTGGAATGGATTTGAATAGAATAGAATGGAATGGAATGGAATGGAATGGAATGGAATGGAATGGAATGGAATGGAATGGAATGGAATGGAATGGACTCAAATGGAATGGAATTGAATGGACTAAAATGGAATGGAATGGACTCGAATGGAATGGAACGGAATTTAATGGAATGGATTCTAATGGAATGGAGTCCAAAGGAATGGAATGGAATTGAATTGAATGGAATAGAATGGAATATACTTGAATGGAAAGGAATGCAATGGAATGGACTCAAATGGAATGGAAAGGACTGGGCTCTAATGGAATGGAATGGAAATGAATGGTCTCAAAAGGGATAGAATGGAATGCAAAGGAATGGAATCGAATGGAATGGAATGGATTTGACTCGAATGGAATTGAATGGTATGGTCACGAATGGAATGGAATGGAGTGGAATGTACTCGAGTAGAATGGAATGGAAATGTATGGACTCGAATTGAATGGAGTTCAATGGAATGGACTTGAATGGAATGGAATGGAATGGATTTGAATGGAATGGAGTTGAATGGAATGGACTGGAATGGAATGGAATGGAATGGATTCGAATGGAATGGTTTGGAATGGAATAGACACGAATGAAATGGAATGGAATGGACTCAAATGGAATAGAATGGAATGGAATGGATTCGAATGGAATAGATTGGACTGGAGTGGAATGAAATTGAATGGAATGGAGTCGAATGGAATATAATGGAATGGAATGGACTCGAATGGAATGGAAAAGAATGCAAACAAATGGAATAGAATGCAATGGACACGAATGGAATGGAGTAGAATGGAATGGACTCGTATGGAATGGAGTGGCATGGACTTGAATGGAATGGAATTTAATTGAAAGGACTCGAAAGGAATTGAATGGAATGGACTCGAATGGAATGTAAAGGAAAGAAAAGGACTCGAATGGAATGGAATGGAAAGGAATGGACCCAATGGATAGGAATGGAGTGGAATGGAATGGAATGGAATGCATTCGAATGGAATGGAATGGAATTGACTCGAATGGAATAGAAACGAATGGACTCGAATAGAATGGAAGGCAATGGAATGGACTCGATTGAAATGGAAAGGAATTTAGTGAACTTGAATCAAACGGAATGTAATGTTATGGAATGGACTCCTATGGAATGGAGTGGAATGGCCCCGAATGGAATGTAATGGAACAGAAAGGAATGGGCTCGAATTGAATGAAATGGAGTGGACCTGAATAGGGTAGAATGGGATGGATTGCATTCGAATGGAATGAAAGGGAATGGAACCGACTGGAATGGAATGTAATGGAATGGAATGGAATGGAATGCAATGGAATGCAATGGAAGGGAATGTTATGGATTTGATTGGACATGAATGGAATAGAATAGGATGGAATGGAATGAATTAAAAAGGAATGGAATGGAATGGACTCCAATGGAATGGGAAGTCCAGGAATTGAATGGAATGGACTCAAATAGAATAAATTGGAATTTAAAGGAATGCAATCCAGTGGAATGCAATGGAATGGTCTCGAATGGAATAGAATGGAATGGAACAGAATGGACTCGAATGGAATGCAATGGAATCGAATAGAATGGAATGAAATGGACACGAAAGGAATGGAAAGGAATGCAATGAACTGGAATGGAATACAATGGAATTTTAATGGAAAGGACACTAATGGTGTGGAATGGAATGGACTTGAATGGAATAGAATGGAAAACACTCGAATGGAATGGAATGGAATGGAATGGAATGGAATGGAATGGAATGGAATGGACACCAATGGAATACAATAGAATGGACTCGAATGGAATGGAATGTAATTGGATGGACTCCAAAGGAGTCGGATGGAATACAATGGAATGGAATCCAATGGAATGGAATGGAATGGATTCGAATGGAATGGAATGCAATGGAATGGACTCAAAGGAATGGAATGGAAATGACTCAAAAGGACTTGAAGGGAATGGACCCGAATGGAATGAAATGGAATGGAATGGACTCGAATTGAATCCAATGGAATGGATTTGCCTCAAATGGAATGGAATGGAATGGAATGGAATGGAATGGAATGGAATGGAATGGAATGGAAAAGAATGAAATGGAACAGAATGGACTGGATTGGAATGGGTTTGAATGGAATGGACTCGAATGGAATGGAATGGAATGGACTCAAATGTAATAGCATGGAACGGAATGGATTCGAATACAATGGAATGGAATGGACTCAAATAGAATGGAATTAGCTCGAACGGAATGGAGTGGAATGGACCCATATGGGATGGAATTGTATTGAATGGACTAGGATGGAATTTGTTGTAACAGAGTGGAATGAACTCGAATGGAATGGAATGAAAATGAACGAAATGTGTTCGAATGGAATGGAATGGAATGGATTCGAATGGAATGGAGTGGAATGGAATGGAATGGAATGGAATGGACTTGAATGGAATGGAGTGGAATATACTGGACTTGAATTGAATGCCATGGAATGCACCCAAATGGAATGGAATGTTATGGAAAATAATGGACTCGAATGTAATGGAATGGAAAGGAATGGACCAAATTGGATTGGAATGCAACGCAATGGAGTTGAATGGAATGGAATGGAATGGACTCTAATGGAATGGAATGGAAAGGAATGGAATGGAATGGACTGGAATAGAATAGCATGTAATGCAATTGACTCGAATGCAATGGAGAGGAATGGACTTGAATGGAATGGAATGGAGTCGAACAGAATGGATTGGACTGCACTTGAATGGAATGGAATGGAATGGAATGGACTCGAAAGGAATGGAATGTAACGGAACGGAATGAACTCGAATGGAATGGAATGGAAAGGAATGAACCTGAAAGGAATGGAATGGAATGGATTGGGCTCGAATCGAATGGAATGGAATGCAATTAAATGGACTCAAATTGAAAGGAATGCAATGGACCCGAATGGAATGGAAAAGACTGGAATGGAATGGAATGCAATGGACTGGAATGGAATGGAATGGACTGGAATGGAAAGGAATGGATTCGAATGGAATACAAAGGAATGGAATGGACTGAAATGGAATGGAATTGAGTGGACTGAAATGGAGGGGAATGGACTCGAATGAATGGAATGGAATTTAATGAAATGGATTCTAATGGAATGGAGACCAGTTGAATGGAATGGAATTGACTCGAATGGAATGTAAAGGAATATACTCGAAGGGAATGAAATGCAATGGAATAAACTCGAATGGAATGGAATGGAATGGGCTCGAAAGGAATGTAACGGAATTGAATGGTCTCGAATGTGATGGAATTGAATTCAATGGAATAGAATCAAATGAAATGGAATCGAATTCACTCGAATGGAATTGAAGGGTATGGACCCGTATGGAATGGAATGGAATGGAATGGACTCAAATAGTATGGAATGGAAAGATATGGACTCGAATGGAACGGAATTGAAAGGAATGGACTTGAATGGAATGGAATGGAATGGATTCGAATTGAATGGTTTGGAAAGGAATGCACTTGAATGGAAAGGAATCAAATGGAATATAATGGAATGCAATGGACTCGAATGGAATGGAATGGAATGGACCCAAATGGAATAGATTGGACAGGAATGCAATGCAATTGAATGGAATGGACTGGAATGGAATAGAATGGAAGGGAATGGACCTAAATGGAATGGAAATGTATGGACTCGAATGGAATAGAATGCAATGGACTCAAATGGAATGGAGTGGAATGGAATGGACTCGAAAGAAATGGAGTGGCATGGACTTGAAAAGAATGGAATGGAATGGAATGGAATGGATTGGACTCGAAAGGATTGGAATGGAATGAACTCGAGTGGAATGGAATGGAATAGAATGGACACGAATGGAATGGAATGGAATGAAATTGAATGGATTCAAATTGAATGGAATGGAATGGAATGGAATGAACTCGAAGTTAATGGAATGGAAAGGAATGGACTCAACGGAATGGAATGGAATGGCCTCAAACGGAATGCAATTGAATTGAATTTACTTGAAAGAAATATAATGGAATGGAATGGAATGGAATGGAATGGAATGGAATCAAATGGAATTAAATGGAATGGACTCGAATGGAATGGACTGGACTCGAATGGAATGGAATGGACTGCACACAGGTGGAATGGAATGGACTCAGGTGGAATGGAATGGAATCCAATGGACTCGAGGGGAGTGGAGTGGAATGGACTCGAACGGTATGGAACGGAATTGAATAGAATGGAAAGGAATGAAATGGACTCGACTGGAATGGAATGGCATGGAAATGAGTAGAACATAATGGAATGGAAAAGAATGGACTCGAACGGAATGGAATGGACTCAAATGGAACGGAAATTACTCAAATGCAATGGAATGAACTCGAATGGAATGGAATGAAATGGAATGGACTTGAATGGAAAAGAATGGAATTGAATGGAATGGACTTGAATGGAATGGAATGGAATGGACTCGAATTGAATTGAATGGAATGGACACGAATGGAGTGGAATGCAAATTAATGGATTCGTATGGAATGGAATGGACTCAAATGTATTGGAATGGAATGGAAATGACTCGAATGGTTTGGAATGGAATTGAATGGACCCGAAAGGAAAGGAATGAGATACGATGGAAAGGACTCGAATGAAATGGAATGGAATGCAATCGAAGTGAATGGAATGGATTCGAAGGGAATGAACTCGAATGGAACGGACCTGAATGGAATGGAATGGGATGGTATGGACTCGAATGGAATATAATATAATGTACTCGAATGGAATGATATGCAATGGAAAGACCTTGAATGAAATGGAATGGAGAGGACCTGAATTGAATGGAATGGATTTGAATGGTCTCGAAAGAATGGAATGGAATGCAATGCAGTGCACTGGAATGCATTGGAATGGAATGGACTCAAATGGAATGGAATGGACTAGAAAGGAATTGAATGGAATGGAACGGACTCGAATGGAATGGACTCGATTGGAATTGAATGGAATGGAATGGACTTGAGCAGAACGGAATGGAATGGACATGAATGGAAAGGAATGGCATGGACTCGAATGCAATGGAATGGAAAGGAATGGAAAGGAATTTATTGGAATGCAATGGAATGGAATGGAATGTTCTGGAATGCAGTGGAATGGAATGGGATTAAATGGAATGGAATGGAATGGAATGGACCTGAATAGAATGGAATGGAATGACTTGAATACAATGGAAGGGAATGGACTCGAATGGAATGGAGTGGAATGCATTCGACTGGAATGGAATAGAATTGAATGGACTTGAATCAAATGGAGTATAATGCAATGGACTCGAATGGAATGGAATAGAATGGTCTCGAATGGAATGGAATGGAATGAACTCAAAGGGAATGAATGGAATTTAGTCAAATGCAATGGAATTGACTCAAATGGAATGGAGTGCAATTTAATGGACTCGAATGGAATGGAATGGAATGGAATTTAATGGACTTGAATGGAATGGAATGAAAAGGAATGGACTTGAATGGACTGGAATGGAATAAAGTGGACTCAAATGGATTGGAAGGGAATTGAATGGACTCAAAAGGAAAGGAATGGAATACGACGGAATTGACTCGAATGGATTGGAATGGAATGCAGTAGAATGGAATGGAATGGACTCCAAAGGAATGGAGTGGAATGGAATGGACTCGAATGGATAAAATTGAATGGGATGGACTTGAATGGAATGGAATGGGATGGACTTGAATGGAATGGCATGCAATGGCAAGTTCTTGAATGGAATGGAAAAGAAAGTATTCGAATGGAATGGAATGGAATTGAACGCACTCGAAAAAATGGAATGGAATGCAATCAAATGGACTGGAATGGATTGGAATGGAATGGACTCGAATGGAATGGAATGGAATCGAAAGGAATGGAAAGGAATGGATTGGACTCCAATGGAATGTAATGGAATAGACTCGAATGAAATTGAATGGAATGGAATGGACTCGAAAAGAATGGAATGTAATGGAACGGATATGAATGAAATGGAATTGAATGGACTCAAATGCAATGGAATGGAATGGAATGCACTCGAATGCAATGGAATGGATTGGAATGGAATGGAATGGACCTGAATAGAATGGAAAGTAATGGACTCCATAGGAATGGAATGTAATGGACGCGAATGGAATGAAATGGAAAGGAATGGAGCCTAATTGAATGGAATGAAATGCAACGGAATTGAATAGACTCGCATGGAATTGAATGGAATGGAATGGATTCGAATGGAATGGAATGCAATGAAATGGAGACGAATGGAATGGAATGGAATGGGGGGAAGTTGAATAAAGTGGAATGGAATGGAATGAAATTGAATGGAATGGAATGAACTTGAATGGAATGGAATGGAATGAACACAGATGGAATGGAATGTAATGGAAAGGAATACACTCAAATGTAATGCAATGTAATGTAATAGAAAGTAATGGACTCGAACTGAATGGAATGGAATGGACTCGAATGGAAAGGAAAGGTATCGAATGGAATAGAATGGAATGGAATGGACTCCAGTGAAATGGAATGCACTCAAATGGAATGGAATGGAATGAAAAGAATGGAATGGACTCGAATGGAATGGATTGGAGTGGAATGAACTCTAATGGAATGGAAGGTAATGGAATAGAATGGAGTCGAAAGGAATGGAATGGAATGGAAAGGAATGGACTCGAACAGAATGGAATGGAATACAATGGATTCGAATGAAATGGAAAGGTATGGAATGGACTCGAATGGAATGGAATGGTCTCCAATGGAATGAAATGGAATGGAATGGAATGGAAAGAAATGGAATGGAATGGACTCGAATGCAATGGGAGGGAAAGGACACAAATTCAATAGAATGGAATGGAAACTAATGTAATGGAATGAATTGGAATGGACTCGAATGGAATGGAATGGAATGCAGTCAAATGGAATGGCATGGCATAGAACAGTTTGGAATGGAATGGAATGGAATGGAATGGAATGAAATGGAATTGACTTGAATGGATTAGAATGGACTCGAAAAGAATGGAATGGAATGGAATGGAATGGAATGGAATGGAATGGAATGGAATGGAATTTATTGGTCTCGAATGGATTGGAATGGAATGGAATGGACTCGAATGCAATGGAATGGAATGGAATGGAATGGAATGGAATGGAATGGAATGGAATGGCATGGAATTGCCCTGAATCGAGTGGAGTGGAACGGAATGGAATCTAATGGAATAGAATGGAATGGACTTGAATTGAATGCAATGTAATTTAATGGACTCATAAGGAATGGAATGAAATGCGATGGAATGGACTCGAATGGAATGGAATGGAATGCACCCGAATGGAATGGAATGGACTCGAATGGAATTGATTGGAATTTAATGGACTAGAATGGATTTGAATAGAATGCACTCGAATGGAATGGAATGGACTCAAATGTAATGGAGTGGAATATAATGGAATAGAATGGAATGGAATGGAATGGAACGAACTCGAATGGAATGGAGTGGAATGGGCTCGAATGGGATGGATTCGAATGGAATGGAATCGAATGGAATGGAATGGACTCTAATGGAACGTAATGGAATGGACTCGAATGGAATGGAATGAAATGGAATCGATTGGAATTGAATGGAATGGAATGGACTCGAACGGAATCGAATATAATGGAACTGAAATGAATGGAAAAGAACGTAACGGAAAGGAATCAAATGCAGTGGGATGGGATGGAATGGAATGGAATGGAATGGAATGGAATGGAATGGAATGGATTGGAATGGAATGGACCTGAGTGGAATGGAATTGAATGGACTCGACTGGAATTTAATGGAATGGAACGGACTCAAATGGCATGCAATGTACTCGAATAGAATTGAATGTAATGGACTCGAATGGAAAGTAATGGAATGGAATGGAATCTAATGGGATACAATGGAATTTAATGGAATTGACTCGAATGGAATTGAATGGAATGGACAGAATGGAATGAATTGGAATGGAATGGAATGGACTCGAATGGAATGGAATGGAATGGACTCGAATGAAATATAATGGATTTGATTGGACACAAAGGGAATGGAATGTACACGAGTGGAACGGACTCGAATGGAATGGAATGGAATGGAGGATTCAAAAGGAATAGAATGGATTGGAATGGACTCTAATGGAAAGGAATGGAATGGACTTGAATGAAATGGAATGGACTCAAATAGAATGGAATGGAATCGAATCGAATAGAATGGAATGGAATGGAATGTCCTCGAATGGAATGAAATGGAATGGAGTCGAATGGAATGGAGTAGAATGGAATGGACTCGAAAGGAGTGGAGTGGAATGGATTCGAATAAAAAGGATGGAATTGAATGGACTCAAATGGAGTGGAATGAACCGATTGGAATGGACTAGAATGGAATGAAATGTAATGGAATGAAATGGACTCAAATGGAATGGAATGGAATGAAATGGAATGGATTGGAATTTTATGTAATGTATTTGAATGGACTCGAATGGAATGCAATTGAATTGAATGGACTCGAAAGGAATTGAATGGCAAGGAATGGAATGGAATCGAATAGAATGGACTCAACTGGAATGGAATGGAATGGACTCGAATTGAAGGGAGTGCCCTCGAATGGAATGAATGGAATGGAATCAATTCGAGTGGAATGGAATACGGAATGTAACGGAATGGACTCGGGTGGAATGGACTGGAATAGAATGGACTGGAATGGAATGGACTCAAATGGAAAGGAACGGATGGAATGCAATGGACTCGAATGGAATGGAATGGAATGGAGGGACTAGAGTTGAATAGAATACAATGGATTCGCATGGAACGGAATGCCCTCGAATGGAATGGAATGGAATGGAGTCAACTCGAGTGCAATGGAATATGTAATAGAATGGAATGGACACTAGTGGAATGGGCTGGAATGGAATGGAATAGAATGGAATGGAATGCACTCGAATAGAATGTAATGGAATGGACTCGAATGGAATGGAATGGACACGAATGGAATGCAATGGAATAGACTAGAATGGAATGGAATAGAATTGACTCGACTGGAATGGAATGGAGTCTAATAGAATGTAATGGAATGGAATGGAATGGAATGGACTCGAATGGAATGCAATGGAATGGCCCCGAATGGATTGCAATGGAATTGACTCGAATGGAATGGAATGGAAAGGAATGGTATGTAGTCTAATGGAGTGGAATGGAATGGACTGGAATGGATTCAAATGCAATGTAATGGAATTTAATGGACACGAATGGAATGGAATGGACTCGAATGGAATGGACGCGAATGGAATGGAATAGAATGGATTCAAAAGGAATAGAATGGATTGTAATGGTCTCGAATGGAATGGAATGGAATGGAATGGAATGGACTCGAATAAAATAGAATGGAATAGAATGGAATGGAATGGATTCGCATGGAATGAAATGGAATGGAGTCAAATGGAATGGAGTCTAAAGGATTCGAATGAAATGGAATGGAATTTTTTTTCTTTTTTTTATTTTGTTTTATTTTTTATTATACTTTAAGTTTTAGGGTACATGTGCTCATTGTGCAGGTTAGTTACATATGTATACATGTGCCATGCTGGTGCACTGCACCCAGTAACTCATCATCTAGCATTAAGTATATATCCCGATGCTATTCCTCCCCCCTCCCCCCACCCCACAACAGTCCCCAGAGTGTGATATTCCCCTTCCTGTGTCCATGTGATCTCATTGTTCAATTCCCACCTATGAGTGAGAATATGCGGTGTTTGGTTTTCTGTTCTTGCGATAGTTTACTGAGAATGATGATTTCCAATTTCATCCACGTCCCTACAAAGGACATGAACTCATCATTTTTTATGGCTGCATAGTATTCCATGGTGTATATGTGCCACATTTTCTTGATCCAGTCTATCACTGTTGGACATTTGGGTTGGTTCCAAGTCTTTGCTATTGTGAATAATGCCGCAATAAACATACGTGTGCATGTGTCTTTATAGCAGCATGATTTATAGTCCTTTGGGTATATACCCAGTAATGGGATGGCTGGGTCAAATGGTATTTCTAGTTCTAGATCCCTGAGGAATCGCCACACTGACTTCCACAATGGTTGAACTAGTTTACAGTCCCACCAACAATGAATTGAATGGACTCGAATGGAATGGAATGTAGCCGATTTGAATGGACTCGAATGGAAAGGAATGTACTGGAATGATATGGACTCGAATTGAATGGAATGGATTGGAATGGAATGAAATGGACTCGAAAGGAATGGAATGGAATGGCATGAAATGGAATGCAATGGAATGGAATGAAACGGAATGCAATGGAATGGAGTGAAATTGAATGGACTCGAATGGAATGCAATTGAATTGAATGGATTCAAAAGGAATGGAATGGAATGGAATGGAATGTACTCGAATGGAATGGAATGGAATCAACTCGAGTGAAATATGGAAAGGAATGGAATGGACTCGAGTGGAATGGGCTGGAATGGAATGGACCCGAAAAGAATGGAGTAGAATGGAATGGACTCGAATGCAACGGACACGAATGCAATGCAATGGACTCGAATGGAATGGAAAGGAATGGATCCTAATGGAATGGAATGGAATGGACTTGAAAGGAATGGAAATGAATGGACCCGAATGAAATGGAATGGAATGTATTGGAATGTACTGGAATGGAATGGAATGAAATGGAGTGGAATGGACTTGCCTGGAATAGAAAGGAATGGAACAGAACGGACTCGAAGGGAATGGAAGGAAATGGACTCGAATGGAATAGAATTGAATGGAATCGAAAGGAATTGAGTGGAATGGAATGGGCTCGAATGGAATGGAATGTAAGGTACAAGAATAGAATGGAATGGACTAGAATAAAATGGAAGGAAACGGACCCAATTGGAATGGATGGGAATGGAATGGAATGGAATGTACTTGAATGGAATGGAACGGAATGGAATGTACTTGAATGGAATGGAATGGAATGGAATGGAATGGAATGCAATGGACTTGAATGGAAGAGAATGGAATGGAATGGAACGGACACGAACAGAATGCAGTGGAATGGACTCGAATGGAATGGAATAGACTCGAATGGAATGGAATGGAATTTAATTGAACGGACTCTAATGGAATGGAATCTAATGGAATGGAATGGAATGGAATCGAACTGAATAGAATGGAATGGACTCGAATGGAATGGAATGGAATGGACACGAAAGTAATGGAATGGAATGGATTTGAATGAAATGGAATGGAATTGAATGGTCTCGAAAGGAATGAAATGGAATGCAAAGGATTGGACTTGAATGGAATTGAATGGAATTGACTCAAAGGGAATAGAATGGAATGCACCCTAATGGAATGGACTGGAATGGAATGGATTCGAATGGAATGGATTGGAATGGAATGGACCCGAATGGAATGGAATGGAATCTAATCGATTCGAGTGCAATGGAATGTAAAGGAATGGACCCGAATGGATTGGAATGGAATCTAATCGATTTGAGTGCAATGGAATGGAAAGGAATGGACCCGAATGGATTGGAATGGAATTGCCTCGAATGGAATAAACAGAAAGGACTCAAATGCAATGCAATGGAATGGATTCAAATGGAATGCAGTGGAAAGGAATCAAACGAAATGGAATGGAATTGATTGGACTTGAATCAAATGGAACGTAATGTTATGGAATGGACTAGAATAGAATGGAATGAATGGAATGAAATGGAGTCGAATGGAATAGAATGGAATGGAGGCACTCGAATGAAATGGAATGGAATGGAAGAGAATGCAATGGAATGAACTGGAATGGAATCTAATGGACTCGAAAGGAATGGAAAGGAATTTAATGGTATGGTGTCGAAAATCATGGAATGGAATGGACTCAAAAGTAATGGAATGGAATTGAAAAGAAGTCAGAGGAATGGAAAGGAATAGTATGGGCATGAATGTAATTGAATGGAATGGAATGGAAAGAAATGGTATCGAATGTTATGGAATGGAATGGACCCGAAAGGAATGGAAAGGAATGGAATGGAAAGGATTCGAATGGAGTAGAATGTAATGGAGTGGAGTGGAATGGAATGGAATGGACTCGAATGGAATGGAATGGAATGTACCCGAATGGAATGGAATGGACAGGAATGGAATGCAATAATGTGGAATGGAAAGGACTTGAATGGAATAGAATGGAATGGAATGGAATGGACTCAAAAGGAATGGGATGGAATGGACTCGAATGGAATGGAATGCACACGAATGGAATGGAATGGAGTCTAATGGACTTGAAAGGAATGGAACGGAATTTAATGGTATGGTATCGAAAATAATGGAATGGAATGGACTCAGATGGAATGGAATGGACTCGAAAGTAGTGGAATGGAATTGAAAAGAAGTGAGTGGAATGGAATGGAATAATATGGGCACGAATGTAATGTAATGGAATGGAATTGAAAGAAATGGACTGGAATGGAATGGAAAGAAATGGGCTCGAATGGAATGGGATGGAATGGACATGAAAGGAATGGAAAGGAATGGAATGGAAGGGATTCGAATGGAGTAGAATGTAATGGAGTGGAGTGGAATGGAATGGAATGGACTCGAATGGAATGGAATGGAATGTACCCGAATGGAATGGAATGGACAGGAATGGAATGTAATAATGTCGAATGGAAAGGACTTGAATGGAATAGAATGGAATGGAATGGAATGGACTCGAAAGGAATGGAATGGAATGGACTCAAATGGAATGGAATGGAACTTAAGGGAAAGGACTCCAATTGAATGGAATCCAATGGAACAGAAAGGAATGGAATCGAAGGGAATAGAATGCAATGGAATGCAATGGAAAAGACTGGAAAGGAATGGAATGGAAGTGACTCTAATGGAATTGAATGGAATGGGCTCGAATGGCATACAATGTAATGGACTCAAATGGAATGGTGTGGAATGGAATGGACTCGAATGGAATGGAGTTGAATGGACTCAAATGGAATGGAATTGAATGGACTCTATTGGAATGTAATATAATGCAATGAAATGGACTTGAAAGGAATGGAATGGAATGTACTCGAATTTAATGGAATGGAATGGAATGGAATGGACTCGAATGAAATGGAAAGGAGTAGAATGGACTCAAAAGGTATGGAATAGAATGCACATGAATGGGATGGAATGGAATGGAAAGGGCTCGAATTGAATTGAATGGAATGAAATGGATTCAAAAGGAATACAACAGAGTTTCATGGAATGCATTGTAATGGAATGGAATGGAGTGCACTCGAATTCAATAAAATGGACTGGACTCGAATGGAGTGGATTGTAACGGAATGGACTTGAATGGAATTAAATGGAATTGATGCAAATGTAATTGAATGGATTGGACCGGAATGGAATGGAATGGAATGGAATGGAATGGAATGGAATGGATTCGAATGGAATGGAATGGAATGGACCTGAATGGAATGGGTTGGAAAGGAATGGTCTCCAATGGAAAGGACTCAAAAGAATAGCATGGAATGGATTGGACTCGAATGCAATGGAATGGAATGGACTCGAATGGAATGGAAGAGACTTGAACGGAATGGAATGGAATGGAATAGACTCTAAGGGAACAGAATGGAATGCACTCGAATGGAATGGAATAGCAACGACTCAAATGGAATAAAATGGAATGGACTCGAATGGAATGGAGAGGAATGCAATGGACTCGAATGGGAATGTATTGGAATGGACTCAAATGGAATGGAATAGAATTGAATGGACTCGAATGGAATGGAATGTAGACGAATAAGATGGACTCAAATGGAATGGAATGGAATGGAATGGAAACAAATGGAATGGAATGGAATGGAATGGAATGGAATGGCATGGAATGGACTCGAATGGAAGGTAATGGTCTAGAATGGAATGGAAAGAATGGAATTTACTCGAATGGAATGGAATGGAATGGAATGGAATGGAAGGGAATGGAATGCAATGGACTCGAATACAAGGGATTGGAATGGACTCGAATGAAACGCGTTGGTATGGAATGTATTCGAATGGAATGGAATGGAATAGACTCAAATGGAATAGAATGGAATGGAATGGACTGGAATGGAATGAAATAGAATGGACTCGAATGAAATAGATTAGAATGGAATGGAATGGAATGGAATGGAATGGAATAGAATGGAATGGAATGGACTCAAATGGAATAGAACGTAATGGAATGGAATATACAAGAATGGCATGGACTTGAATGGAATACAATCGATTGGAATCGAATGGAATGGAAGGGAATGGAATGGTATCGAATGGATTGGACTCGAATGGAATGGAATGGAATGGACTCGAGTGGAATGGAATGGAATCGTATGGACTCAAATGGAATGGAAGGGAATGGAATGGAATGGAATGGAATGGACTCGAATGGGATGGAAAGGAATGAAAATGACTCGAGTGGAATGGAATGAAATGGAATGGACTCGAATAGAATGGAATGGAATGAATTTGAATGGAAAGGAATGTAATGTACCTGAATGAAATGGAAGGGAATGGAATGGAAAGGATTCGAATGGAATAGAAGGGAGGGGAGTGGAATGGAGTGTAATGGATTGGACTGGAATGGAATGGAGGGGAATGGTCCCAATGGAATGGAATGGAATGGAATGGACTTGAATGGAATAGAATGGATTTGAATGGAATGGACTCAAAAGGAATAGCATGAAACGGACTCAAATGGAATGGAATGGACACAAATGGAATGGAATGGAATGGACTCGAATGGAATACAATAGTATTTAATGTAATGGAATCTAATGGAATGCAATGGAAAGGACTCGAATGGAATAGAGTGGAATGGACTGAAATGGAATGGAATGCAATGGAATGGACTAGAATGGAATGGAATGCAATGGAATGGACTCGAATGGAATGGAATAGAATTGACTCGAATGGAATTGAATGGAATGGACAAGAATGGAAATTAATGGAATGGAATGGAATGGTCTCGAATGGAATGGAGTGGAGTGGCATGGACTCGAATGGAATGGAATGGAATGGAATGGATTCGAAAGGAATGAAATGGAATGGAGTCGAAAAAAATGGGTTGGAATGGAATGAACTCGAATGGAATGGAATGGAATGTACTCAAATGGAAGAGTATGGAATGGAATGGACTGGAATGGAATGCAATGAAATGGACTCGAATGGAGTGGAATAGACTCGAATGGAATGGAATGGGATGGACTCGAATGGAATAAAATGCAATGGAATGAAAAGTACTAGAGTGGAATGGAATGGACAAGTATGGAATGGAATGGAATCAAATGGTACGTAGTGGAATTGAATGGACTGGAAGGGATTGGACTCGAATTCAATGGAATGGGATGAACTCGAATGGAATGGAATGTAATGAAATGCACTCGAGTGGAATAGAATGGAATGGACTCCAATGGAATAGAATAGAATGGACTCAAATGGAATAGAATGGAATGGACTCCATTGGAATGGAAGGGAATGGAATGTACTCGAATAGAATGGAATGGAATGGAATGGAATGGAATGTATTGGAATAGAATGGAATGGAATGGAAAGGAAAGGTATGGAATGGAATGGAATGGAATTTAAATGGAATGTACATGAATGGTAAGGAATTGCATTGAATGGACTCAAAAGTAATGGAATGGACTCTAATGGAATGGAGTGGAATGGAATGGACTCGAATGGAATGGACTCGAATTTAATGGAATGGATGCGAATGGAATGGAATGGACTCGACTGGAATGGAATGGCATCGAAGGGACTCAAAAGGAATGGAATGCAATGGAATGGAATGGAATGGAATGGAATGGAATGGAATGCACTTGAATGGAATGGAATGGAATGGAATGCACTTGAATGGAATGGAATGGAATGAAAATGACTTGAGTGGAATGGAATGTAAAGGAATGGACTTGAATGGAATGGAATGGAATTGATTGGAAAGAAAAGAAATGGACCTGAAAGAAATGGAAGGGAATGAAATGGAAAGGACTCAAATGGAATAGAATGGCATGGACTGGAATGTAATGGAATGGAATACACTCGAATGGAATTGTATGGAATGGTCCCAATGGAATGGAATGGAAAGAAATGGAATGGACTGTAATGGACTAAAACGGAATGGAAAGGAATGTACTAGAATGTAATGTATTGGAAAGCAATCGAATGGAATAGAATGGAATGGAATCAAATGGAATGGAGTGGAATGGAATGGACTCGAATGGAATGGACTCAAATGCCATGGAATGGACTCGAATGGCATGGAAAGGAATTTAGCCGAGCGGAAAGGATTGGAATGGAATGGAATGGAATGGAAAGGAATGGAATGGAATGGAATGGAATGAAACGGAATGGAATGGACTTGAATGGAAAAGAAAGGATTGGAATGGAATGGACTCGAAAGGAATAGTACTGAATGGAATCGAATGGACTCGAATAGAATGGACATGAATGGAATGGAATGGAATACAATGAAATTTAATGGAATGGACACGAATGGAATGGATTGGAATGGAAATGAAAGTAATGGAATGGAATGGAATGGACTCAAAATGAATGGAATGGAATGCAATGAAATGCACTCGAATGGAATAGAATGGAATGGAATCGAAAGGAATGGAATCGAAAGTAATGGAATGGAATTAAATGGACTCGAAATGAATGGAATGGAATTAATTTAATGGACGGGAATGTAATAGAATGGAATGGAATAGACTCGAATGGAATGGAAAGGAATGGACTCGAAAGGAATGCAGTTGAAAGGAATGGTATGAAATGGAATGGAATGGAATGGAATGGAATGGAATGGAATGGAATGGAATGGAATGCTATCAAATGGAATGGAATGGATTTGAATGGAATAGAATGGACTCGAATGGTATGGAATGGAGTGTAATCGACTCGAGAGGAATGGAATGGAATGGAGAGCACTCGAATGAAATGGAATGAAATGGAATGGACATGAACCGAATGGAATGGGTGGGAATGGAATGAACTCCAGTGAAATAGAATGGAATGGAAACGAGTGGAATGCAGTGTAGTGGAATGGACTCGAATGGGTTGGAATGGAATGGACTCGAAATGGTTGGAATGGAATGGCCTCGAATGGAATGGAATGGATTGGATTGAAATGAAATAGAATGGATTGGAATGGAATAGAATGGAATGAATGGAATGGACTCGAATGGAATGCAATGGAATGGAATGGACTCAAATGGAATGGAATGGACTTGAAAGAAATGAATGGAATGGAATCGACTCAAGTGGAATGGAAATGAATGGAATTGACTCCAATTGAGTGGAATGGAATGGAATGTCCTCGAATGGAATGGGATGGATTGTACCCGAATGGAATGGAATAGAATGGAATGGACTAGAAAGGAACACAATGGAATGGATTGGAATGGACTCGAATGGAATTCTACGGAATGGAAAGGACCTGAAAGCAATGGAATGGAAGGGAAGGGAATAGAAAGGAATGGGATGGACTCGAATGTAATGGGATGGACTCGAATATTATGGAATGGAATTAACACGAATGGAAAGGAATGGACTAGAATGGAATGTAATGGATTAGAATTGTAACGAATTGAGTGGAATGGAATGGAATGGAATGGAATGGACTCAAATGGGACGGAATGGAATGGACCCGAATGAAATGGAATGGAATTGAATGGTATGGACTCAAATGCAATGGAATGGAATTGACTGGAATCGAGCAGAATGGAATTGAATGGAATGGACTCGAAGAGAATGGAATAAAATGGACCCAAATGGAATGGAATGGAATGGAATGGAATGGAATGGAATGGAATGGAATGGAATGGAATGGTATTGAATGGAATGAACTTCAATGGAACAGAATGGAATGGAATGGAATGGAATGGAATGGAATGGATTTGACCCGTATGGAATAGAGTGGAATTTAATGGAATGAACACTAAAGGATTGGAATGGAATGGACTCGAATGTAAGAGAATGGAATGGACTCGAATGGAAAGGAATATAACGGAGTGGACTCGAATGGAATGGATTGGAATGAACTCGAAAGGAAGCAATGTTATTCAAAGGAAGGGACTCGAATGGATTGGAAAGGAATGGTCCTGAAAGGAAAGGAATGCATTGGAATTGACTCAAATGGAATGGAATTGACTGGAATTGAATTGAATGGCAGGGGACAGACTCAAACGGAATAGAATGGAATTCAATGGAATGGAATGGAATGGAATGGAATGGAATGGACTCGAATGGAATGGAATGGACTGAAATGGAATAGAATGGAATGGAATGGACTCGAATGGAATGGAATGGACTCGAATGCAGTGGAATGGAATGGAATGGACTCGATAGGAATAGAATGGAATGAAATGGAATGGACTCGAATGGAAATGAATGGAATGGAATTGAATGGAATAGAATGGAATGGAATCGAATGGAAGGGATTGGAACGAAATGGACTCGAATGGGTTGGAATGGAAAGGACTCGAATGGAATGGAATGCAATCGACTCAAACGGAACAGAATGGAATGGAATGGACTCGAATCGAATGGAATGCAATGGACTCGAATGGAATAGAATGGGATGGACTCGACTGGTATGGACTGGAATGGAATGGACTCAAATGGAATGGAAAGTAAAGGAATGGAATGGACTCGAATGGAATGGAATGGGATGGAATGGACCCAAATGGAATGGAGAAGATTTGAATTGAATGGAATGCAATGGAATGGAATGGACTCGAAAGGAATGCAATTGTATTGAATGGAATTGAAAGGAATGGAATGGATTAGACTTGAATGGAACGTACTCGAATGGAATGGAATGGAATGGATTCTAATTGAAAGGAATGGACTCGAATGGAATGGAATGGAATAGACTCAAATGGAATAGAATGTAATGGAATGGACTCGAATGGAATGGAATGGAATGGACTCGAATAGAATGGAATGGAATGGAACCGAGTGGAATGGAATGGATTGGAATGGACACGAATGTCATGGAATGGACGCCAATGGAATAGAATTGAAGGAAATGGAATGGAATGGACTCAAATGGAATGGGAAGGAACGGAATGGAATGGAATGGAATGGAATGGAATGGAATGGAATGGAATGGAATCAACAGGAATGGAATGGAATGGAATGGAAAGGAAAGGACTCGAATGGAATGGACTCAAATGGAATGGAATGGACACGAATGGAGTGGAATGGAATAGAATGGACTCAAATGGAATGGAATGGCCTCCAAAGGAAGGGAGTGACATTTAATGAATGCATTCTAATGGAATGGCATGGAATGGACTGGAATGGAATAGAATGGAATGGATTCGAATGGAGTGGAATATAATGGTGTGGACACGAATTGAATGGAATGGAATGGAATGGACTAGAAAGGAATCGAATGGAATGGACTAGAATGGAATATAATGGAATTCAATGGAGATGAAAGGAATGGAATGGAATGCAATGGAATGGACTTGAATCGAATGGAATGGAAAGTACTCAAATGGAATTAAACGGACCAGAATGGAATGGAATGGAATGGAACAGTATTGAATGGAATGGAAGGGAATGCAATTTAATAGAATGGAATTGAATGGAATGGAAAGGATTGGAATGGAATGGACTTGAATGGAATATTACGGATTGGAATGGAATGGACTCGAAGGCAATGGAAAGGAATGGACTTGAATTGTGTGGAATGTCCTCGAATGCAATTGAATGGAATTTAAGGGAATGGACTCTAATGAAGTGGAATTTAATGGACCCAAATGGAATAGAATGGAATGGACTTGAATGGAATGGAAAGGAAGCGAAGGGACTTGAAATGAAAGGAATGGAATGGAATGGACTCGAATGGAATGGAATGGAATGGACTCGAATGGAATGGAATGGAATGGAATGGATTCGAAAGGAATACAATGGACTCCAATGGAATGGAATGGAATGGAAATGACTCGAGTGGACTGGAATGGAATGGATTGGACCCCAATGGAATGGAATGGAAAGTACACTAATGGAATGGAATGGAATGCAATGGAGTGGAATGGAACCAACAGGAATGGAATGGAATGGAATGGAATGGAATGGAATGGAATGGACTCGAATGGAATGGAATTCAATGGACGCCAAATGAATGGTATGGCCTCGAAAGCAATGGAATGGAATTTAATGCAATGGACTCTAATGGAATTTATTCTAATGAAAAGGAATTTAATGCACTTGAATGAAATAGAATGCAATGGACTCGAATGGAATGGAAAGGATTCGAATGTACATGAAATAAATGGAATGGAATGTACTGGAATGGAATGCAATGGATACGAATGTAATTGAATGGATTGGACTCGAATGGAATGGAATGGACTCAAGTGGTATGGAATGATATGGAAACGAGTCGATTGGAATGGAATGGCCTCGAATTGAATGGAATGGAATGTACTCGCATGGAATGAAATGGAATGGAAAGGACACAAAAGGAATGAAATGGAATGCAATGGAATGGAATGGAATGGAGTCGACTGGAAAAGAATGGAAAGAACTGGAATGGAATGGATTGGAAATGATTGGAATGGAATGGAATGTCCACAAAAGGAATGGAATGGAATGGACACGAATGGAATGGAGTGGAATTCAATGGATTGGAATGGAATGGAATGTCCACAAAAGGAATGGAATGGAATGGACACGAATGGAATGGAGTGGAATTCAATGGATTGGAATGGAATTGAATGGTATGGAATGGAATGGACTTTAATGGAATAGAATGTTATGGAAAGGAATGGATTCAAAAGGAAGGGAATGGAATGGACTCGAATGCAATGGAAGGTACACGAATGGAATGGAAAATAATTGAACGGAATTCAGTGTAATTTAATGGAATGGAATCTAATGGACTGGAATGGAATGGACTCGATTGTAATGGAATGGAATTGAATGGACTTGAAAAGAATGGAATGGAATGAAATGGAATGGAATCGAATGGAAAGGAATATAATGAACTCGAAAGTAATGGAATGGAACTGAATGGACTCGAAAGTAATGGAATGGAACTGAATGGACTCGAAAAGAATGGAATGGAATGCAATGGAATGGAACAGAATGGAATCGAATGGATTGGAATGCAATGGCTTGGACTCCAATGGAATGGAATGGAATTGACTCAAATGGTATTGAAATGTATGGACCCGAATGGAATGGAATGGAATGGAACAGACTCGAATTGAATGGAATGGAGTGGAATGGAATCGAATGAAATGGAATGGAATGAACTCAAATGGAATGCAATGGAATGTACTCGAAAGGAAGGGAAAGAAATCGAATGGAATGGAATGGTATGGAAACGACACTAGTGGAATGGAATGGAATGGAAAGGAATGGACTAGAATGGAAAGGAATGTAATGGACTCGAATGGAATATAACGGAATTAAATTGACTCGAGTGGAATGGAATAGAATGGAATGGACTCTAATGGAATGGAAAGGAATTGACTCGAATGGAATAGAAAAGAATGGACCCAAAAGGAATGGAATGGAATGGACTCGAATGGAATGCATTGGAATGGAATGGAATTGAATGGACTAGAATACAACGGAATGTCATGGTATGGAATGGACTCGAATGGAATGGAATGAAATGGAATGAAACGGAATGGAATGGAATGGAATGGAATGGAATGGAATGGAACAGACTCAAGTGGAATGGAATGGACTCGAATGGAATGGAATGGAATTGACAGGACTCGAAAGGAATGGAATGGAATGGACTGGACTCGAGTGGAATGGAATGGAATGGAATGGACTCGAATTGAATGGAATGGAATTGACAGGACTCGAAAGGAATGGAATGGAATGGAATGGAATGGAATGGAATGGACTCAAAAGGAATGGAATGGATTGCAATGGAATGGAATGGATTGTGCTCGAATGGAAAGAAATGGAATGGACTTGAATGGAGTGGAGTGGAATAGAATTGACTGAAATAGAAGGGAAACTACTCAAGTGGAATTCAATGGAATGGAATGGACTAGAATGGAATGGAATGGACCGAAAAGGAATGCAATGAATGAAATGGAACGGACTCGAATGGAATGAAATGGAACGGAATGGACGGGAATCGAATGGAATGTAAAGGAATGGACTCGAACGGAATCGAATGGCATGGACTCGAATGGAATAGAATGGAATGGATTCGAATGGAAGGGATTGGAATGAAATGGACTCGAATGGGTTGGAATGGAAAGGACTCGAATGGAATGGAATGCAATCGACTCAAACGGAACAGAATGGAATGGGATGGACTCGAATGGAATGGAATGGATGGACTCGAATGGAATGGAATGGATGGACTCGAATGGAATGGAATGCAATGGACTCAAATGGAATAGAATGGGATGGACTCGACTGGTATGGACTGGAATGGAATGGACTCGAATGGAATGGAAAGTAACGGAATGGAATGGATTCGAATGGTATGGAATGGAATGGAATGAAATGGACTCGAATGGAATGGAATGGGATGGAATGGACCCAAATGGAATGGAGAGGATTTGAATTGAATGGAATGCAATGGAATGGACTCGAATGGAATGCAATTGTATTGAATGGAATCAAAAGGAATGGAATGGATTGGACTTGAATGGAACGTACTCGAATGGAATGGAATGGAATGGACTCGAATTGAAAGGAATGGACTCGAATGGAATGGAATGGAATAGACGCAAATGGAATAGAATGTAATGGAATGGACTCGAATGGAATGGAATGGAATGGAATGGACTCGAATAGAATGGAATGGAGTGGAACCGAGTGGAATGGAATGGATTGGAATGGACACGAATGTCATGGAATGGACGCCAATGGAATGGACGCCAATAGAATGGAATGGACCCAGATGGAATGGAATGGAATGGAATGGAATGGAATGGAATGGAATGGAATGGAATGGACTCGAAAGGAATGGAACAGAATTGAATGGACTCTAAAAGAATGGAATGGAATGCAATGGAATACACTCAAATGGAATGGATTGGAATACACTCGAATGGAATGGAATGTGAAGGAATGAACTCGAATGGAATGCAATGGAATTGACTCTAATGGAATTGAAAGGAATGGACCAGAATAGAATGGAATGATATGGAATGGAATGGAATTGAATGGAGTGGAATATACTCGAATGGAATGGAAAGGAATGGAATGGATTCGAACGGAATGGAATGGAATGGACTCGAATGGAATGGAATGGATTCGAATGGAATAGAATGGAATGGACTCGAATGAAATGGTTTGGAATCAAATGGAATCGAATGAAATGGAATGGAATGGACTCAAATGGACTTGAATGGAATGGAATGGACCCGAATGGAATGGAAAGGAATTGAATGGAATGGAATGGAATGGAATGGAATGGAATGGAATGGAATGGAATGGAATGGAATGAAATGCAATGAAATGGACCTAAATGGAATAGAATGAAATGGAATTGCATGGACTCGAAGGGAATGGAATGCAATGGATTTGAATGGAATGGAATGGACTCCAAAAGGAATAGGACGGAATTTATTGGAATGGAATCTAAAGTAATGGAATCTAATGGAATGGACTAGAAAGGAATGCAATGGAATGGACTCGAAAGGAATGGAATGCAATGGATTTGAATGGAATGGAATGGACTCCAAAAGGAACAGGATGGAATTTATTGGAATGGAATCTAAAGTAATGGAATCTAATGGAATGGACTCGAAAGGAATGTAATGGAATGTACTCGAAAGAATGAAATGCAATGGAATGGAATGGAGTCGAATGGAATGGAATGGACTCGAAAGGAATGGAATGGATTGGAATGGAGTGGAAAAGACTCGAATGGAATGCAATGACCTGGACTGGAAAGGAATGGAATGGAATTGAATGGAATAAAAAAATGGAATGGAATGGAATGGAACGGACACAAATTGAATGGAATGGAATAGACTCTAATGGAATGGAATGCAATGGAACGGACTCAAATGGAATTGAGTGGAATGGACTCGAGTGGAATAGAATGTAATGGACTCAAATGGAATGGTGTGGAATGGAATGGCTTGAAAGAAATGGATTGGAATGGACTCGAATGGAATGGAATAGAATGGACCTGAATGGAATGGAATGGAATGGAATGGAATGGAATGGAATGGAATGGAATGGAATGGACTCGAATGGAATGGAATGGAATGGAATGGAATGGAATGGACTCGAATAGAATGGAAAGGAATTGAATGGAATGGACTCGAATGGAATACAACGGAATTAAATGGAATGGACTCTAACGGAATGAAATGGTGTGGACTTGGATGGAATGAAGTGGACTGGACTAGAGTGGAATGCTATGCAATGTAATGGATTCAAATTTAAAGGATTTGAATGGACTAGAATGGAATGGAATGGAATGGAATGGAATGGAATGGAATGGAATGGATTCGAAGGCATTGGAATGAAAAGCAATGGAATGGACTCGAATGGAATGGAATGGAATGGACTCGAATGGAATTGAATGGATTGGAAATTAGTGTAATGTAATGGAAAGGAATGGACTCGAATGGAATGGAATTGAATGGACTCGAATGTTATGGAATGGAATGGAATGGATTCGAATGGATTTTAATGGAATGGACTCGAATTGAATCGTCTTGATTGGAATGGAATGGAATGGACTCAAAAGGAACAGCATGGAATGGAAAGGACTCAAATGCTTGGAATGCAATGGAATAGCATGCAATGGATTGGATCCAAATGGAATAGAATAGAATGCATTGGAATGGAATGGAATGGAATGAAATGAAATAGAATGGAACGGAATGGACTCGAATGGAATGGAATGGAATGCAATGGAAGGGACTCGAATGGAATGGACTACAATGGACTCGAATGGAATGGAATGCAATGGAATGGACTCGAATGGAATGGAATGGAATGAGCTCAAGCGGAATGTAATGGTATGGAATGGAGATGAATGGAATGGAATGGAATGGAATGGAATTGCTTTGAATGGAAGGAACTCTAATGGAATGGAATGGAATGGAATCAAATGGAATCACACGGAATTGAATGGATTCAAATTCAATGGAATGGAATGGAATCGAAAGGAATAGAGTGCGCTCAAACGGAAAGGAATGGAATGGAATGGAATGGAATGGAATGGAATGGAATGGAATGGAATGGATTCGAATGGAATGGAATGGAATAGACTTGAATGGAGAAGAATGGAATGGACTGCATTGAAATGGACTGGAATGTAACGGACTAGAATGGAATGGAGTGGAATGGACTTGAATGAAATGGAATGGAATCCAATGGACTTGTGTGGAAAAGAATTGAATGGAATGAAATGGACTCAAAAGTAATGGAATGGAATGGACTCGAGTGGAATGGAATGGACAGGAATGGAAAGGAATTGAATAGAATGGACTCAAATGGAATACAATGGAATTTAATGGAATGGACTCTAATTTAATGGAATGGAATGGACTCGAATGGAATAGAATGGAGTGGATGACAATGGAATGGAATGCAATGGAATGGACTCAAATGGAATGGACTCGAATGAAATGGAATGGAATCGAATAGTCTCAAAAGGAGTCGAATGGAATGCAATGGAATGGACTCGAATGGAATGGAATGGAATTGAATGGTCTCAAATGGAATGGAATGGAATGCAATGGAATGGACACGAATGCAATGGAATGGAATGGACTGGAATGGAATGGAATGGAATGGACTTGATTGGAATGTAATGAAATGGAATGGAATGGACTTGAATGGAATAGAATGGAATGGAATGAAAAGGACTCGATGAGAATGGAATGGAATGGATTTGAATGGAATGGAATGGACTCAAAAGGAGTGGAATCAAATAGAATGGACTCAAATTGAATAGTATGGAATGGACTCGAATGGAATGGAATGCAATGAAATGGATTCGAATGGAATGGACTCGAATGGAATACAAAGTAATGTATTAGAATGGAATGGAAAGGAATTGAAAGGAAGTGAAAGGAATGGAATGGAATGCAATGGAATGGACTCGAATGGAATGGTATGCAATGGACTCAATGGAATGGAATGCAACGGAGTGGACGTGTATGGAATTGAATGGAATTGACTGGAAAGCAATTGAATGAAATGGATCCGAAAGGAATGGAATGGAATGAGCTCATATGGAATGGAATGGTATGGAATGGAGATGAATGGAATGAGATGGAATGGAATGGAAAAGAATGGACAGAAATGGAATTGCTTTGAATGAAACGGACTCTAACGGAATGGAATGGAATGACTCAAATGGAATAGCATGGAATAGGATGGATTCAAATGCCAAGGAATGGAATGGAATTGAAAGGAATGGAGTGGACTCAAGCAGAATAGAATGTAATGGAATGGACCAAATGGAATAGAATGGAATGGAATGGAATCGAAAGGAGTAGAATGGAATGGACTCGTATGGAATAGAGTGGAATGTAACAGACTAGAATGGAATGGAGTGCAATGGACTTGAATGGAATGGAATGGAATCTAATGGACTTGATTGGAAAAGAATTGAATGGAATGGAATGGACTCAAAAGTAATGGAATGCAATGGACTCAAATGGAATGGAATGGACACGAATGGAAAAAAAAATGGAATGGTATGGACTCGAATGGAATACAATGGAATTTAATGGAATGGACTCTAATGGAATGGACTCGAATGGAATAGAATGCAATGGATGTCAATGGAATGGAATGCAATGGAATGGACTCGAATGGAATGGATTTGAATGAAAAGGAATGCAATTGAATGGTCTAGAAAGCAATGGAATGGAATGTAATGGAATGGACTCGAATGAAATGGAATGGAATGGACTGGAATGGAATGTAATGAAATGGAATGGAAGGGACTTGAATGGAATAGAATGGAATGGAATGGACTTGATGGGAATGGAATGGAATGGATTTGAATGGAATGGAATGGACTCAAAAGGAATGGAATGGAATTTAAAGGAATGGAATCTAAAAAAATGGAATGTAATGGAATGGACTCGAATGGAATAGAATGGAATGGACTTGAATGGAATGGAATGCAATGGAATGGATTCGAATGGAATGGACTCGAATGGATTAGAATGTAATGTATTCGAATGGAATTTAATGGAATTGAATGGACTCGAAAGGAACGGAATGGAATGCAATGGAATGGACACGAATGGAATGGAATGGAGTGCAATGGAATGTAATGGAATGGACTTGATTGGAATGTAATGAAATGGAAAGTAATGGACTTGAATGGAATAGAATGGAATGGAATGAAATGGACTCGATGGGAATGAAATGGAATGGATTCAAAAGGAGTGGAATGAAATCTAAAGGAATGGAATCTAATGGAATGGACTCGAACTGAATAATATGGAATGGACTCGAATGGAATGGAATGCAATGAAATGGATTTGAATGGAATGGACTCGAATGGAATAGAATGTAATGTATTAGAATGGAATGGAAAAGAATTGAAAGGAAGCGAAAGGAATGGAATGGAATGTAATGGAATGGACTCGAATGGAATGGTATGCTATGGACTCGATGGAATGGAATGCAACGGAATGGATGTGTATGGAATTGAATGGAATTGACTGGAAAGCAATTCAGTGGAATGGACCGAATGGAATGGAATGGAATGAGCTCAAATGGAATGAATTGGTATGGAATGGAGACAAATGGAATGGGATGGAAAGTAATGGAACGGAATGGACTGGAATGGAATTGCTTTGAATGAAAGGAACTCTAATGGAATGGAATGGAATGGACTCAAATGGAATAGAATGGAATGGAATGGAATCGAAAGGAGTAGAATGGAATGGACTTTTATGGAATGGAGAGGAATGTAACGGACTAGAGTGGAATGGAGTGGAATGGACTTGAATGGAATAGAATGGAATCTAGTGGACTTGATTGGAAAAGAATTGAATGGAATGGAATGGACTCAAAAGTAATGGAATGCAATGGACTCAAGTGGAATGGAATGGACATGAATGGAAAAAAATGGAATAGAATGGACTCGAATGGAATACTATGGAATTTAATGGAATGGACTCAAATGGAATACAATGGAATGGATGTCAATGGAATGGAATGCAATGGAATGGACTCAATTGAAATGGAATGGAATTGAATGTTCTCGAAAGGAATGGAATGGAATGCAATGGAATGGACTCGAATGGAATGGAATGGAATGGAATGAAATGTAATGGAATGGACTTGAATGGAATAGAATGTAATGTAATGGAATGGACTCGAAGGGATTGGAATGGAATGGATTTGAATGGAATGGAATGGAATCAAAAGGAATGGAATGGAATTTAATTGAATGGAATCTAAAGGAATGGAATGTAATGGAATGGACTCGAATGGAATAGAATGGAATGGACTTGAATGGAATGGAATGCAATAGAATGGATTCGAATGGAATGGACTCGAATGGATTAGAATGTAATGTATTTGAATGGAATTTAATGGAATTGAAAGGACTCGAAAGGAATGGAATGGAATGCAATGGAATGGACTCTAATGGAATAGAAGGCAATGGATGACAATGGAATGGAATGCAATGGAATGGACTCGAATGGAATAGAATGCAATGGATGACAATGGAATTGAATGCAATGGAATGGACTCGAATGGAATGGAATGGAGTGGACTGGAATGCAATGGAATGGAATGGACTTCATTGGAATGTAATGAGATGGAAAGGAATGGACTTGAATGGAATAGAATGGAATGGAATGAAATGGACTGGATGGGAATGGAATGGAATGAATTTGAATGGAATGGAATGGACTCGAAAGGAGTGGAATGGAATCTAAAGGAAATGAACCTAATGGAATGGACTCGAATGGAATAGTATGGAATGGACTCAAATGGAATGGAATGCAATGAAATGGATTCGAATGGAATGGACTCGAATGGAATAGAATGTAATGTATTAGAATGGAATGGAAAGGAATTGAAAGGAATCGAAAGGAATGGAAAGGAATGCAATGGAATGGATTCGAATTGAATGGTATGCAAAGGGCTCGATGGAATGGAATGCAACGGAATAGACGTGTATGGCATTGAATGGAATTGACTGGAAAGCAATTGAATGGAATGGACACGAATGGATTGGAATGGGATGGAATGAGCTCAAATGGAATGGAATGGTATGGAATGGAGACGAATGGAATGGGATGGAAAGTAATGGAACGGAATGGACTGGAATGGAATTGCTTTGAATGAAAGGAACTCTAATGGAATGGAATGGAATGGACTCAAATGGAATAGCATGGAATTGAATGGATTCGAATGCCATGGAATGGAATGGAATTGAAAGGAATGGAGTGCGCTCAAACAGAATGGAAGGGAATGGAATGGTGTCAAATGGAATACAATGGAATGGAATGGAACCAAAAGGAGTAGAATGGAAGGGACTCGTATGGAATGGAGTGGAATGAAATGGACTAGAATGGAATGGAGTGGAATGGACTTGAATGGAATGGAAAGGAATCTAATGGACTTGATTGGAAAAGAATTGAATGGAATGGAATGGACACAAAAGTAATGGAATGCAATGGAATTGAGTGGAATGGAATGGACATGAATAAAAAAATGGAATAGAATAGACTCGAATGGAATCCAATGGAATTTAATGGAATGGACTCTAATGGAATGGAATGGAATTGAATCGAATGGAATAGAAAGGAAAGGATGTCAATGGAATGGAATGAAATGGAATGAACTCAAATGAAATGGAATGGAATTGAATGGTATCTAAAGGAATGGAATGTAATGCAGTGGAATGGACTCGAATGAAATGGAATGGAATGGACTGGAATGGAATGGAATGGAATGGACTGGAATGAAATGGAAAGGAATGGACTTGAATGGAATAGAATGGAATGGAATGGAATGGAATGGAATGGAATTGAATGGAATGGAATGGAATGGACTCAATGGGAATGGAATGGATTGCATTTGAATGGAATGGAATGGACTCAAAAGGAAAGGAATGGAATTTAATGGAATGGAATTTAAAGGAATGTAATGTAATGGAACGGACTCGAATGGAATAGAATGGAATCGACTTGAATGGAATGGAATGCAATGGAATGGATTCGAATGGAAGAGACCCGAATGGATTAGAATGTAATGTATTCGAATGGAATTTAATGGAATTGAATGGACTCGAAAGGAATGGAATGGAATGCAATGGAATGGACTCGAATGGAATGGAATGCAATGACTCGATGGAATGGAATGCAATGGAATGGACTCGTACCTAATTGAGTGGAATTGACACGAACGGCATTGAATGGAATGGACCCGAATGGAATGGAATGGAATGGAATGATCTCAAATGGAACGGAATGGTATGGAAAGGAGACGAATGGAATGGAATGGAATGGAATGGAATGGAATGGAATGGAATGGAATGGAATGGAATTGCTTTGAATGAAAGGGACTCTAATGGAATGGAATGGAATGGAATCAAATGGAATAGCATGGAATTCAATGGATTTGAATGCAATGGAATGGAATGGAATCGAAAGGAATTGAGTGGACTCAAACGGAAGGGAATGGAACAGACTCGAACAGAATAGAACGGAATGGAATGGAATGGAATATAATGGAATGGACTCGAATGGAGTAGAAAGGAATGGACTCGAATGGAATGGAGTGGAATGTAACGAACTAGAATGGAATGGAGTGGAATGGACTTCAATGGAATGGAAGGGAATCTAATGGTCTTGATTGGAATAGAATTGGATGGAGTAGAATGGACTCAAAAGTAACGGAATGGAATGGATTCGAGTGGAATGGAATGGACACGAATGGAATGAAATTGAATAGAATGGACTCGAACGGAATACAATGTAATTTAATGAAATGGACTCTAATGGAACGTAATGGAATGGACTCGAATGCCATAGAATGGAATGGACGCCAATGGAATGGAAGGCAATGGAATGGAATCGAATGGAATGGACTGGAATGAAATGGAATGGAATAGAATGGTCTCGAAAGGAATAGAATGGAATGAAATGGAATGGACTAAAATGCAATAGAATGTACAGGAACGGAATGTAATGAAATGGAATGGAATGGACTAGAATTGAATAGAATGGAATGGAATGGAATGGAATTGATGGGAATGGAATGGAATGGATTTGAATGGAATCAAATGGACTCGAAAGGAATGGAATGGAATTTAATGGAATGTAGTCTAATGGAATGGAATCGAATGTAATGGACTCAAATGGAAAAGAATGGAATGGACTCGAATGGAATGGAATGCAATGGAATGGATTCCAATGGAATGGACTCGAACGGAATGGAATGGAATGGATTCAAACGGAATGTAGTGGAATGGAATGGAATGGAATGGAATGGAATGGAATGGAATGGAAAAGGAATGGAATGGAATGGAAAGGAATTGAATGGAATGGAATGGAATGCAATGGAATTGGATGGAATGGACTTGAATGGAATAGTAAGGAATGGAATGGAATGGCCTCGAATGGAATGGAATGCAATGGGCTCGAGTGAAATAGAATGGATACAAATGGAATGGAATGGAATAGAACAGACTTGAATGGAATAGAATTGTATTTATTGGAATGGACTCTAAAGGAAAGGAATGGAATGGACTCGAATGGAATGCAATTGAATGGACTCAAATGGAATAGAATGGAATTGAATGGAATTGATTGGAATGGAATGGAATGCAATGCAATGGAATGGAATGGAATTGACTCAAATGGAATGAAATGGGATGGAATGGAATGGATTGGAATGAAGTAGAATGGACTCGAATGGAAGGGAAAGGAATGGACACGAATGGAATGCAGTGGAATGGAATGGAATGGAATGGAATGCAACGGAATGGAATGGAATTGACTCAAATGGAATGGAATGAAATGGAATTTACTCGAATGGAATGAAATGGAATGGACTCGAATGGAATGGACTGGAAACGATTGTAATGGAACAGAATGGAATGGACTTGAATGTAATATAATGGAATGGATTCTAATGGAATGGAATGCAATGGAATGGACTCCAATGGATTAAAATGGAATGGACTTGAATGGAATGGGATGGATTTAAGTGGACTCAAATGGGATGGGATGGAATAAACTCTAATTGAATGGAACGGAGTGGAATGTACACGAATGGAATGGAAAGGAATTCACTCGAATGGAATTGATTCAAGTGGAATGGAATCGAGTGGAGTGGAATGGAATGGAATGGAACGGAATGGAATGGAATGGACTCGAATGGAAGGGAATTGAATTAACCCGAATTTAATGGAATGGAATGGAAAGAAATGGAATCGAATGGAATGGAACGGAATGGAATTGACCCGAATGGAGTGGAATGGAATGGAATGGACCCTAATGGAATGGAATTGAATGGACCCGAATGGAATGGAATCGAATGGAATTGCAAGGCACGGAATGGAATGAAATGGAATGGAATGGAATGGTATGGAATGGAATGGAATGGACTCTAACGGAATTGAATGGAATGGAATGGAATGAAACCAAAATTAATGGAATGGAATGGACTCGAATGGAATAGAATGGACATGAATGGAATGGAATCGAATGGACCCAAATCGAATGGAATGGAATGGAATGGAATGGAATGGAATGGAATGGAATGAATTTGAATGGAATGTAGTTGAATTGAATAGATCTGAAAGGAATGGAATGGAATGAAATGGACTCGAATGGAATGGAAGGGAACGGAGTGGAATCGAATGAAATGGAATGGACCCGAATGGAATGGAATGGAATGGAATGGAATGGAATGGAATGGAATAGAATCCAGTGGAATGGAATGGAATGGAAAGGAATGGACTCGAATGGAATTGAAATGACTTGAGTACGTTGGAGTGGAATGGAATGGACTTGAAAGGAACAGAATGTGATTTAATGGAATGGACTCTAATGGAATGGAATGCAATGGATTCGAAGGGAATACAATGGAATGGAATCGAATGAAATGGAATGGAATTGAATGGACTTGATTGGAATGCAATGGAATGGAATAGACTCGAAGGAAATGGAATAGAAAGGACCCGAATGTAATGTAATGTAATGTAATGTAATGTAATGTAATGTAATGTAATGTAACGTAATGTAAGGTAATGAAATTTAATGGAATGAAAGGGAATGGAATGGAATCGACATGAATGGAATAGAATGTAATGGAATGGAATGGATACAAAGACAATGGAGTGGAATATACTCCTTTGGAATGGAATGGACTCGAATGGAATGGAATATAATTTAATGTAATGGACTCTAATGGAATGGAATCTAATGGAATGGAAAGGAATGGACTCAAATGGGATAGAACGGAATGGACGCCAATGGAATGGAATGCAATGGAATGGAATCGAATGAAATTGACTCGAATGAAATGGAATGGAATTGAATGGTCTCGAAAGCAATAGAATGGAATGAAATGGAATGGACTCGAATGGAATGGAATGTGCTGGAATGGAATGAAATGAAATGGAACAGAATGGAATGGAATGGAATGGAATGGAATGGAATGGAATGGAATGGAATGGACTTGAATGGAATAGAATGGAATGGAATGGAATGGAATGGAATGGAATGGAATGGAATGGAATGGACTTGTTGGGAATGGAATGGAATGGATTGGAATGGAATGGATTTGAATGGAATGGACTCGAAAGGAATGGAATGGAATTTAATGGAATGGAATCTAATGGAATGGAATAGAAAGTAATGGACTCGCATGGAAAAGAATGGAATGTACTCGAATGGAATGGAATGCAATGGAATGGACTCGAATGGAATGGATGCGAACGGAATGGAATAGAATAGATTCGAATGGAATGTAGTGGAATGGAACGCATTTGAATGGAATGGAATGGAATGGATTCGAATGGAATGGAATGGAATTGAATGGACTTCAAAGGAGTGGAATCGAATTGAATGGACTCGAAAAGAATGGAATGGAATGCAATGGAATGGACTCGAAAGGAATGGAATGGAATGGACTTGAATGGATTTGAATTCAATGGAATGGATTCGAATGGATTTGAATCGAATGGAATTGAATGGAATCTACTAGATTGTAATAGAATGGAATGAACTCGAATGGAATGGTTTGGAATGGAATGGACTTGTATGGAATGGAGTGGAATAGACTCGAATGGAATGGAATTGAATGGACTCGACTGGAATGGAATGTAAAGGAATGAAATTGACTAGAATGGAATGGAATGGAATGGAATGGAATCGAATGGATTTGAATGCAGTGGAATGGATTTGAATCGACTTGAATCGAATGGAATTGAATGGAATATACTGGATTGGAATCGAATGGAATGAACTCGAATGGAATGGTGTGGAATGGAATGGACTTGTGTGGAATGGAGTGGAATAGACTCGAATGGAATGGAATTGAATGGACTCAACTGGAATGGAATGTAAGGAAATGAAGTTGACTATGGAATGGAATGGAATGGAATGGAGTCGAATGGAATTCTATAGAATGGAATGAAATGGAATGGAATGTACTCGAATGAAATGCAGTGGAGTGGAATGGAATCAAATGGAATGGAATAGAATGGACCCGAATGGAATGGAATGGAACGGAATGGACGCGAATAGAATGCAATGGAATCGAAAGGGATGGAATGGAATGGAATGGAGTGGAATAGAATGGAATGGAATGGACTCGAATGGATTGGAATGGAATTTAATGGAATGGACCCTAATGGAATGGAAAGGGATGGACTCGAATGGAATAGAATGCAATGGACTCGAATGAATTTGAATGCAATTGATTCGATAGGAATGGAATGGAATTCAGTGAAACGGAATGGAATGCTATGGAATGGACTCAAATGGAATTGACTCGAATGGATTTGAATTGATTGGACCTGAATGGATTTCAACAGAATGAAATGGGTTCGAGTGGAATGGAACTGGATGGAATGGGCACTAATGGAATGGAATGGAATGGCTCAAATGAAATAGAAGGGAAAGGATTCGAATGGACTCGAATGGAAGGGAATGCCTTCAAATGGAATGGAATTGAAAGGAATGAACTTGAAAGGAATAGAAAGGAACGGAATGGAACAGACTCGAATGGAAAGGAATGGAATGGACTCGAATGGAATAGAACGGAATTCATTTGAATGGAATAGAATGGAATGCATTCGAATGGAATGGCATAAAATGGAACGTATGGAATGGAATGGAATTGAGTTGACATGAATGGAATGGAATGGACTCGAATGGAATGGACACGAATGTAATGGAGTGAAATGGAATGGAATGGAATGGAGTGGAATGGAATGGACTCAAATGGAATGGAATGGAATTGAATGGACTTGAAAGGAATGGAATGAAATGAGAGAGATTGGACTCGAATGGAATGGAATGGACCCGAATGGAATAGAATGGACTCAAATGTATTGGAATGGATTGGAACAGTCTCGAGTGGAATGGAATGGAATGGAGTGGAATGGAATGTAGTCGAAAGGCATGGAATGGAATTGACTCAAATGGAATAGAAAGGTATGGACTCGAATGGAATGGAATGCAATGGAATGGACTCGAATGGAATGGAATTGAATGGAATGGAATGGAATGGAATGAAATGAAATGGACTCAAATGCAATGGAATGGAATGGAGTCAAATGGAATGGAATGGACTGGAAAGGAATGGAATTTAATGGAAATGACTCAAGTTAAATGGAATGGAATGGAATGGAATGGACTCGAATGGAACGGAATGGACTCGAATGGAATGGAATGAAATGAAATCGACTCGAGTTGAATGGAATGGAAAGGAGTGGACTCAAATGAAATGGAATGCAATGGAATGGAATTGAGTGGAATAGAATGGAATTTACCCTAATGGAATGGCATGGAAAGGATACGACTCTAATGGAATGGAATGGAATGGAATGGAATGGAATGGAATGGAATTGAATGGAATGGAGTGGAATGGAATTGAATGGAGTGGAATGGAATGGAATGGAGTGGAATGGAATGGAATGGACATGAAAGGAACGGAAAGGAATGGAAAGGGCTGGAATGGAACGAAATGGAATAGAATGTACTCGAATAGAATGGAATTCAATGGACTCGAATGGAATGCAATGGACTCGAATGGAAACAATGGAATTGATCTGAATAGAATTGAATGGAATGGAATGGAAAGGACTTGAATGGAATAGAATGGATTGGAATGGAATGGTATTGAATGGAATGGAATGGAATGGACTCGAATGGAATGGAATGGACTTTAATAGAATGGAATGGAATGGAATAGACACGAATGGAATTGAATGGGTTTTACTGGAGTGGACTCTAATGGAATGGACTCTAATGGAGGGGAATGGAATGGACTCGAATGGAATGAACTGTAATAGAATGGTTTAGAATGGAATGGACTCGAGTGGAATGGAAAGGAATGGGATGGACTCGAATGAAATGTTATGGAATAGAAGGAATGGAATGGACTCAAATGGAATGGACCCAAATGGAAAGGAATGGAATGGAATGGTATGGAATGGAATGGTTTGGAATGATCTCGAATGGAATTGAGTGGAATGGACTGGAATCTAATGGAATGGAACAGAATGGAATGGACTCGAATGCAATAGAATGGAATTGACTCGAATGGAATTGAATTGAATGGACATGAGTGGAATGGAATGGAATGGAATGGAATGGAATGGAATGGAATGGAACGGAACGGAATGGAATGGAATGGAATGGAATGGACTCGAATGGAATGGAATGGAGTGGAATCTAATGACTCGAATTGAATGGAATGGAATGGACTCGAATGGAATGGATTCGAATGGAATGGAATGGAATGGACTCGAATGGAATGGGCTGGAATGGAATGGATTTGAATAGAATGGAATGGACTCGAAAGGAATGGAATGGAATGGACTCAATTGGAATAGAATGTAATGGAATGGACTCCAATGGAATGGAGTGGAATTGACTCCAATGGAATGGAACGGTCTCGAATGGAATGGAATGGAAAGGAATGGACTCGAATGGAATAGAATGGAATGGAATGGAATGGAATTGACTCCAATGGAAGGGGTTTGAATGGAATGGACTAGAATATATGGAGTGGAAAGGACTCAAATGGAATAGAATGGAATGGAGAGGACTCCAATGGAATTGAAGGCAATGGACTCGAATGGAATGGAAATTACTCGAATGGAATGGAATGTAAAGTATTGGACTCGAATGGAATAGCATGGAATGGAATTGAATGGACTCGAGTGCAATGGAATTGAAAGGACTCGAATGGAATCGAATGGAATGGAATCGAATGGAATGGAGAAAATTGAATGGACAAGAATGGTGTGGAATGGAATGAAATGGACCCGAATGGAATGGAATGAAATGAAATGGACCCGTATGTCATGGACTGGAATGGAATGGAATGGACTGGAATGGAATACAAATTCATACAATGGAATGGAGTTGAAAGGAATAGAATGGAATGGAAGGGAAAGGACTCGAAAGTAATAGAGTGGAATGGACTCAAATGGAATAGAATGGAATCGAATGGACTTGCATGGAACGGAACGGACTCGATCGGAATGCAATGGAATTGAATGGACCTAAAAGGAACAGAATGGATGGAATGAAATGGACTCGAATGGAATGGCATGGAATGGACTCGAATAGAATAGAATGGAATGGACTCGAAAATAATGGAGTGAAATGAAATGGATTCGAATGGAATGGACTCGAAAATAATGGAGTAGAATGGAGTGGACTTGAATGGAATGGAGTTTAATGGACTCGAATGCCAAGAAATGGAATTCAATGGAATTGACTGCAATGGAATGTAACAGAAAGAAATGTACTAGGATGGAATGGAGTGGAATGTAATGAAATGGACTCGAATGGGAAGGAATGGAATCGAATGGAATGGAATGTAATGGAATGGAAAAATGGAATGGAATGGAATGGAATGTTATGGACTCGAATGGAATGCTATTGAATTGAATGGACTCAAAAGGAATGCAATGGAATGGAATGGAAAGGAATGGAATGGACTCGAATGGAATGAAATGGAATGGCCTCGAATGGAATGGAATGGACATGAATGGAATGAAATAGAATGGAATCGACTCGAGTTGAATGGAATGGAATGGAATGGACTCGAATGGTATGGAATGCAATGGAATGGACTCGAATGGAATGGCCCCAGATGGAATGGAATGGAGTGGAATGGAATGGAATGGAATGGAATGGAATGGAATGGAATGGACTCGAATGTAATGGAATGTAATGGAAGGGACTCGAATGGAATGGAATGGAATAGAAGGGACTCGAATGGAATGAAATGAAATCTAATTTACTCGAATGGCATGGACTGCACTCGATTGGAATTGAGTGCAATGGATTAGAATTGACCCGAATGGAATGGAATGGAATTGACTTGAATGGAAAAGAATGGAATTTAATGTAATGGACTCGAAGGTATTGGAATGGAACTGACACGAATGGAATGGAATTGACTCGAATGGAATGGAAAGGAGTTTAATGGAATGGACACTAATGGAATGGAATCTAATTTAATGCAATGGAATGGATTCAAATGGAATACCATGGAATGTACTCGAATGGAGTGGAATGCAAAGGAATGGACTCGAATGTAATGGAATTAAATAGACTCAAACTGAATGGAATGGAATTGAATGGTGTCGAAAGTGATGGAATGGAATGCAATGGAATGGACTCCAAAGGAATGGAATGAAATTGACTCAAATGGAATTGAATGGAATGGACCACAATGGAATGAATGGAATGGAATGGACCCGAATGCAGTGGATTGCTTTGTAATTGAGTGGAATGGAATGGAATTTAATGGAATGGACCCTAATGGAATGGAATGGAATGGACTCGAAAGGAATAGAATGGAATGGACTCAAATGGAATGGAATGAAATGGAATGGACTGGAATTGAATGGAATGAACTCGAATGGAATGGAATGGAATGGAATCGACTCGAATTGAATGGAATGGAATGGATTGGACTCGAATTGAATGGAATGGAATGGATTGGACTCGAATAGAATGGAATGGAATGGACTCGAATTCAATAGAATGGAATGGACAGGAATGGAATGGAATGGAATTGAATGGATTTGAATGGAATGGAATGGAATCGACTCAAATGCAATAGAACTGAATGGACACGAATGAAATGGAATGGAATGGAATGGACTAGAATGGAACGCAATGGAATGGACTCGAATGGAATAGAATGGAATGGACTTGAATGGAATGGAATGGATTGGAATGGACTCGAATGGAATGGAGTGGAATGGACTCAAATGGAATGGAATGGAACTGAATTGACTTGAATCGAATGGAATGTAATGGAATGGAATGGAATCGAATGGAATGGAATGTATTGGAATGAAATGGAGTTGAATGGAATGGAATGGAATCGAAAGGAAACTAGTGGATTTGAATGAGCTCGAAAGGAATGGAATGGAATGGAGTGGACTCGATTGGAATGGAATGGTATGGACTCGAATGAAATGGAATGGATTAGAATGGAATGGAATGGAATGGAAATGACTCGAGTAGAATGCAAAGGAATGGCATGGAATGGAATGGAATCGAATAGAATGGATTGGATTGGAATGTAATGGACTCGAATGTAATGTAATGGAATCGAATCGAGTGGAATTGAATGGAATGGAATGGAATGGAATTGAAAGGACTCGAATGGAATGGAATGGAACTCAAAGGACTCGAATGGAATGGAGTGCAATGGAACGGAATGGACTCGAATGGAATGGATCGGAATGGACTCGAATGGAATGGAATTGAAAGGACTCGAATGGAATGGAATGGAACTCAATGGACTCGAATGGAATGGAGTTCAATGGAATGGAATGGACTCGAATGGAATGGATCGGAATGGACTCGAATGGAATGGAATGGACAGGTTTCGAATTGAATGGAATGGAAGGGAATGGTCTCTAATGGAATCGAATGGAATGGACTCAAATGGAATGGAATGGAATGCAATGGATTCAAATGGAATGGAATGGATACAAATTGAATGGAATGGACTCGAGTGGAATGGAATGGACTCGAATGGAATGGAATGGAATGCATTGGATTCAAATTGAATGGAATGGATACAAATTGAATGGAATGGACTCGAGTGGAATGGAATGGACTCGAATGGAATGCAATGGAATGGACTTGAATGGCATAGAATGGAATGGAATCGAATGGAATGGGTTGGACTCGAATGGACTCGAGTGGAATGGAATCGAATTTAATGAACTCGAATGGAATGGAATGTAATTGAATGGAATGGACTCAAATGGTATGCAATGAATTCGAATGGAATGGAATGATATGCAAAAGACTCGAATGGAATGGTTTGGAATGGACTCGAGTGGAATGGAATGGAATAGAATGAAATGGAATGGAATGGAATGGAATGGACTGGAATGGAATGGAATGCAATGCAATGGAGTGGACCGGAATGAAATCAGATGAAATGGAATCGAATGGAATAGAATGGAATAGAATGTACTCGAATGGAATGGACGGACTCAAACGCAAATATCACTGAGGCTTTCCTTGGAGTAGCTCCTGTAATTAGAATCATTGGTACTCTGCCCTCCTGTCAGTGGTGGAACGTTCTATCGGCATATGTGGAAGCCTGTTAGAAGGACGAGTTTCTTTGAACACAATAAAATTTTAAGTTAGGAATAACTTATTTGAAAGCAATTCATTGAAAGTTATTGCTAAGAATTTAGAAGCAAAGTCTTCTGGCAGTCATTTCTTCGAGACGTACGGCAGTGTGGGAGGGATATATAAAGTGAAATAGGAACTTGGGCTAGTTAAATGGAATAGCCTCCAATGTTAATCTGTTTACCTCTTAACTGAATGAAAAATCCTATAGTTGTAAGAAAAGAAAATATATACAATCCTCACACATTACCTTCTCATCAGCATAATTAATCTACATTGAAGATGAGTGTGGCAAAGCAGAGACTCTATATACAGAGAAAAACATAGGGAAATGCAAAGACACTGGGAGAAAAAAAGTGAAGGACAGTAGAGCAACTGGAAGCTTCTGACACCAACAGCTTGATGAACGGGGTCACTCAACCCTTGATGGACACAGAGTC